>NC_000004.12:112103199-112254714 GCF_000001405.40 Homo sapiens | reverse complement strand
ATATTTGTCTTAGGTATACATCTCACAAGAAATTATGTTACTTTTTTCACTTAAAAATAATATACCTTTATATTTGTAAGCTATTTAATTCAAATGCCTCTTTAATACATCATTTCATTTGATATATTTAACAGTCCTACAAAATGGCCAAGACAAGCATATACTATTTTAATTTATGACTTTCTATGAATGAAAATCAAACAGGAGAATTATAGCAATTTTCTACATAAATCAGAACTAAAACTTTCATCTGAATTGAATATTTCATACAAGTAATTTCATTCCATGCTACCAGAATATTCCACTTCACTTGACTACAGAACAAATGTTGTAAGAAGGAAAATTATTCAAGGAATGGGGACTAAAAGATACCAAATAAGAATTTCCCCACGTTTATATTTATCCGTCTATTCATTCATATAGTTATTTACTGAAAATCTACTAAGTGGTAGTTACTATCCCCAAATACAATGTCTTTCTAGAGATAGGAATGTAAACAGTTTGATCATAATGTGCTTAACACTATTATGTCAGTGACCTAATAAAAGTCATTACTATTATATCACTAAAGTGTTTTTATTTTAAATATAAATAACTTGATAAGTAACCACCTGAAATAAAAGGTGTTTTATTGTTAATACTGTTTGGCTTAAAGATTGAGAGAAAACAATGAATTCAAAAGGTTTAGAAAATTAAGGAATCTCTCTGAAAAAAGAATAAAACTGTTAAAGTTATTATCTTTATCTTTTTTTATATTAGTTTGTGATTTTTAAATATCTAATTCCTGCCTTACACATTTCCTTATTAATATAGAAGGCCATAAAGTACAGTGTTCCAGCTTTGAAGCCAGGCAGTTTGGACTAGAATTTAGGTTTTGCCACTTAATAGGTTGTGTAATATAGCCCAATTTCTCCACCTGTCTAAGCCTCTGATTTTTCATCCATGAAACAGGGTGACCACCACCTGTTTACAAGAGAGTTGTGATGACATTCTTAATTTGTATGGTGGAGTGGCTAGTTTATAGTAGGTAAGGAATAAATGGTAGTTTCTATTATTATATTTTACATTCAAAGAAAAAGTGACTCGGTCATTCTGCTGTGGAGTTGCTTAAACTCAACTTCCTGCTTTGTTTCTGGACTCCCCCCTGCTGGGGCAGGCCAACCACCTCTCGTTATACCCTAGTGAGCCACTATTACTGACAGAAGAGTACCTTCTCCCTGACTTATAGGGTGGGGGAAAAAGCTATTAGAAAAACAGAACCATAATCCTCTGCAAACTTCTTCCTACTCATTCCTTCCCTCACTGCTCCAACTCTTTCAATCTTCACTAACATGAATAATATTGAAATATAAACAGTCCATTCTAAATTTGGGTCCAGATCTTTCCCTCTTTACAACAAAAAGCCCCTTCCGCCTTTCTGAAGGCATTTTTAATTCAATCAAATTAAGGACTACTTACCTCTATTGTTAAGTGCTCACCTCTTGAGCATGTTCTAAAATACTTGGATCTGGGAAGGAAAACAGAATAACTTTAAAAAACACAATTAACTCTAAGATTGAATTAATATATAGCATAAAAACATTTATTTCCTCAAGAGCAACTTTAAAATCTCTAACATATAGTTATATTTATAAAAAAAGAACAACAAAATTTACCTAAGACTATAAAAAGTCCAGATTTTTAAACTTCATTATGACTTTGTTTAGTCAATCAATATTTCTTTCTATTGGCACTAACACTTACTAAATCTGTAATAATTAATTTACTATATTTACTACATTGAGTAGAATACATTTTAAAATGTATCTCATTATTTTTACTACATCAAGAAAAGTACCTCGTTAAAAAATACTGATGTGTTAAATAATATATAAAAAGAATATGTTCTCAATTTTGTTAAAAATACACAGAACATTAAGTATCTAAAAGTATATATGTCAATATGCTAAGAGTAGTTATCTTTGGTGGTGGAATCACGTGTCTTTATTCAAGACTTTTGTTATCTTCCCATGCCCTCACAAATAAAAGAGAAAAACAATGCATATACATGTCAATCAAACAATCCATTACATTATTTTTTCCAACTAGGGCCAAATATTGACTTTATTTTAATCATTCTTTCCTGCTCCTATTAAACTTATATGTAGTCAAATAGGAATCTTCTTTATTATATCCTCCAAAGATATGTCTACATTCTAAGTACTACAGCATCCAAGCTGGCATCCCAGGAGAGGGCCACTCACAGTCCTTTGTAACTGGAAGTGCCAGGAGATTACGGGACTTTCAGTCATAATGTGGCTCCTGTTACAGCTGCCAAAACTGATGGAGAACTCCACTGCCATACAATGGGGATCCAAATTTGTACTAAGTGTTCTTAAATCATCAGGATTCATGGACAGAAAGCACACTTTTAAGAAACAAGGAGAATCCTGGGGTTAGGACAGGTCAGAATTCTTTTGCTTTTCTTTCTTTTTTGGAGACAGGGTCTTACTCTGTCACCCAAGCTGGAGTGCAGTGGCGCAATCCTGACTCATTGCAGCTTTGCACTCCTTGGCTCAAGTGATCCTCCTGCCTCAGCCTCCCCAGTAGCTAGTAATACAGGCATGCACCACCATGCTTGGCTTCACTTATTTTTTTGTAGAGACGAGGTCTCAATGTTACCCAGCCTGGTCGCAAATTCTTGGGCTCAAGTAATTCTGGGACTCCCAAAGTGCAGAATTCTTTGTATTATGTGTATGTGTGTGGATGAAGGTTTAGTGAAAGAGAATGCCATATCATGACTGAAGGAAAAAAATAGCAATGAAATTATGGGAACTATTTTTCCTGCTATAATCTTTATCTGCTGATAGATGCAAATCTGTGTTATTGTCCACTAAGATCATTGGTAAAAAGCAAAGAATTTGGTATTACAATTCCACAGATTTCATGGACTATATCCAACATAAATGCAATACCCTTAATCCTCTATCTAGTGCCTCCACTCTTCTCTCTCCTTTATTTCTCAAACAAATACAGAAATGAGTTGAACCTTCAGTAGTAGCACTGGGTTCTGGCATTAGGATTCCTGCTTACAGTGCTATATGCTTCTCTCCCTGCAACCATCACTATCTTCCCTGAATGGAGAATCTGTCTCTGATTAATCTGTTTCCTCCTCCAGGTTAGTGAGTGGTACAGCTGAATAATTAGAAATAAAGCCCAGTAATACTATCAATAGGAGCCATCAGTATGACTTCACTGCTGTGGCAAAGCCCAAAGCTAAGTAGAACATTGTCGAAACCAAGGTAACTGTTACACTACATTTGTATTAGATGGCAGAACACCATGTTCTAGTCTAATTATACATAGATAATACAAACTAACTTTAGTAGTAGGCAAAAGTGTTATCTGTTGTAAATATCTCCCTTTTCTGTCCCCTCTATTCACAGCCAGCTATAGTGAGGACACTCACGTCCTCACATGACTCTGAATCCCTGAGTATCTGACTAAGCTAGAATCAGTCAATCCCTCACACCTCATTTGACTGGTTCAGGGTTACACAGAAACTGAGCAGGGAGAGACAATATCCTTCTGAGAGCTCTAGAGAGTTGCTGGGGATTATGCTTTCTGACAATGCGCAATGAGAGGAATGAAATAAACTGAAAGAGTGCTCTGACAGCATCAAAATCATCCCTAAGAACCAGATGCATTCCACCCTGCTCATGGTTTGGTTATTAGTTGAGAAACCTAACATCCCTATTACAAATTCTACCCTTTGCCTAAGATAGTTTTAATTGGGCTTCTGTCCCCCACAAAGTCCTGATTAATAAACATGAATATAAGTGATATGACAAGGGAGTAAATTAAGAATAGCAATAAATAAAACAAGATAAAGAGAAAAGCAAAATATATTTGAGAGAAAAGCAAAATATATTTGGGAAAAAATTCAAGCTTTCCTTTTAAAATGGATTAGATTGAGACTTTGTTCACAAAATGCATATCTTGACTCCTACCACAATAAAAGCTAAGATTATACTGATAAAGTAAATACTCGATTTGGCAAACTCAGGGTCAACATTTTTATCAGGGGAGCTTTATCCTGTGACTTATCTGAAAATACCAAGAAACATAACATGTATATATTCCATGAATTAAGTTACTTATTCAAGTATGCTTGAATTATGTTTACTTGTTCAAACATTATTGATGACTGAATAGGACCCTCAGACATGTGATGTATTAAATTCAGTCACTGACATTTTGCCAACTTCCAGCCATATAAAACCATAACTTTTCACATACTTTTCTATATTCTATGTAATATATATGTTTTAAAAATAATTAGAAAGCCAACGTCCTAATGGTTTGAAAGGACCATTTCAGATTTCGGAGAGCTATTAAGAAATGAAAAATGAAAACTCAAATCTTTCCATATTATTGGATGCTTAAAAGCCTAGCAAATTTGGAATACACCTTTTACAATGTTTCCTATAATAAACTATCCTGCATTTTCTGTTCTTTCCTTCAGTTTTGTTCTCAATGAGGCTCTTGGCAATCAATCCTTCACTACTTGCTCCTAGGTAAGGATGAGAATGTAAGTGAAGGGTAAGCGGAACAACTGGGGAAAGGAATGGAAGTACTCAACTATTAAACCTTAAGTCAAGTTTTACACTTTTATTTCATAAATATTTATCAAGTGCTTCTAAAGTGCCTGGCACTGTTCTAGATGCTGGCAATACAACTGTCAACAAACAGATAAAGGTCCTGCCACCTTGGAGCTAACAATTTGTGAATGAATGATAATAAACACATAGATAAATGCATCAGATGATAGTAATTGCCATGAAAGAAAAGTACCTCATGCTGTTTTCCATGAAATTTGTACTAATTCACATTCCCATCAACAGTGGCTAAGTATTCCCTTTTCCCCACATCCTCGCCAACATCTATTGCTTTTTAACTTTTCAGTAATGGCCACGCTGACTGGCACAAGATGGTATCTCACTATGCAATATATACAGGTAAGAAATCTGCAGCTGTACCCCCTAAATCTATAAAAAATTATATATATATATATTTCTTTTTTGAGACAGTCTCACTCTTACCCAGGCTGGAGTGCAGTGGCTGGATCTCGACTCACTGCAACCTCCACCTCCCAGGTTCAAGCGATTCTCCTGCCTCAGCCTCCCAAGTAGCTGGAATTACAGGCGCCCACCACCACACCCGGCTAATTTTTGTAATTTTAGTACAGACGGAGTTTCACTTTGGCCAGGCTGGTCTCAAACTCCTGACCTCAGGTGATCCACCCACCTCGGCCTCCCAAAGTGGTGAGATTACAGGCGTGAGCCACTGCACCAAGCCTATACATTTTTTTTTTTTAAAGAAAAGTACCTTAGAGTAAGTGAGGATCGTGATTGGAGGAGGAAGGTTATTTTATTTTATTTTTGGAGACAGAGTTTTGCTCTTGTTGCCCAGGCTGGAGTGCAATGGCACGATCTTGGCTCACAACCTCCACCCGCTGGGTTCAAGCAATTCTCCTGCCTCAGCCTCCCGAGTAGCTGGGATTACAGGCATGCACCACCACGCCCCGCTAATTTTTTGTATTTTTAGTAGAGACAGGGTTTCTCCATGTTGGTCAGGCTGGTCTCGAACTCCTGACCCCAGGTGATCTGTCTGCCTCAGCCTCCTAAAGTGCTGGGATTACAGGCGTGAGCCACCGCACCCGGAACAGGAGGTTATTTTATGTAGGGTGGTCAAGGCAGACTTCTCGGTTAAAGCAAAGGCAGAACAAAGACCCCAAGGAAATGAGGAAGCCAGCTAGACAGATATCTGGAGGAAAAGAATTCTAAACAGAGGAAAAGCAAAAGCAAACGCTCTGAGGCAAAACTCTACTTGGCACATTCTAAGAAAGCGAGAGGGTCAGAATGGCTGGAATGAAGAAGGAAGGGAGATAAGGTCTGAGAGATAGCCAGGGTCAGATCACAGGCCTTTATAGACCATGGGAAGAGTTTTAGATTTTAATATTAATTAGATAAGAACTCACAGAAGAGATTTTTGTCTTTAGCATTCACTCTGTTTTTTAAAACTTTTATCATGAACCTTTTCAAATATGCACAAAAGCAGAGAGAAGAGATTGATAAGCCCCCCTGTACCCATTACCGCACTTAAAAAGTTACTACTTCCTGATCATGTTTCATTTATACTATACTCCTTTTTGTTTTATTTTTTGTTGGTATTTTACAGCAAATCTCAGACATGTTATCTTACCCTTACCTCAATTTGCATCTTTAATTAAAGTATTAAGAACTGTTTTTTTTAAAAAGCTAACATACCAACAAAATTTAAAATAATTTCTTTAATATTATCTAATGTGTAGTCCAATCTATATTTCTATTTCCCCATATTTCACATATGATTTGTTCAAATCAGAATCAAACAAAAGCCCCACAGAGTATGTTTGCTTGTTAGGCCTCTTGCACCTCTTTTAGTCCATATCAGCCCCCTTCCCAGCACCAGTGTCTGTTTTCATGCCACTGATTTGTTAGACAAATTGTGTCACTTGTCCTACAAAATTTCTCACTTTCTGGATTTACCTGATATTTTTCCTCTTGGTATTATTTAACTTTTTCTTCTATCCCCTGTATTTCCTGCATTTTAGTAATTTGATTTAAAAGCTTGATTATATTGAGTTTAATTTTTTTAGGCAAGAATGCTTCACTAATGGTACTTGCTATTGAATCAAATCATAAGGAACTTTATTTTTGCCTGCCTCACTTTTACTGATGATCTGTAAGTTAGGATATTTATGTCAGCCTAATCCACCCATCATAATATTTCACATCAAGCTTTTACCAAATGGTTTTTAACATCCATTGATAATCAGTACTCAGTTCCATTATTTCACTACAGAGTACAAAAACAATGATTTTTAAATTCTATCATTCCTTAAGAATCTATTAGCTGTAACAACTTCACTGGAAGATCCTTAAAAGACACGCTGACATATGTTTTAAGAGGTCAATTAGAAAGCTATTATAATAGTAGAGCGAAGAAATGATGGTGGCTTGAATCACAGTAACAATAGTGGGAGTAATGAGAAGTAATTCTGAAGACAGGGCTGACAGAATTTGCTAATGTATTAGATATAAGGATGTGTGTAAAAAGGAAAAATCAAGGCTATCTCCTAACTCTGAGGCCTGAACAATTAGGATGGATTTGTCATTTACCAAGATGAGGAAGCCTGGGAAAGAAGCAGGTTTGTGTTTTTAGATGCCTTGAGCTTGACATTCATACAAAGAGTCTGGGTGAGACTCCTCTATTCAAATTCGAAACTACAACGTTAACATAAACATCAGCCCAAAAACTCCTTAAAAGTATTCCTATATTTAACCCTGGAGCTACTTCTCAATCTCAGATCAGTAAAAGTACTTTTCTTTTCTTCTTTTCTTCACACCCAGGAAATTTATGTTGCTTGCTTTTGCTATCCCAATAAGGTTGTCTGTAGACAAAGATGCAATGTCAGCAATTTTTCCCCTCCCATACATACACTTCATGTTACTACCAATACATACATATGCCTATTGTTTCTAGGGATTTTACTTCTAAGTAATATCGAGAAATGGAAGTATAGTCTCTTCCTTGGGGACACAGGAAGAGTGAGTTATCTCCCAGTAAGCTGGAAACAGAGAAAACAGAAATTAAAGCTACAAACAATACATCATGGATCAGTTACCTTCACATGCTAAGTTAACTTAAGGAAACAGAAGGGCTCCTGTAAGATTTAAAAGAAAGAGAAGGAAGTTAATCATATTTTTAAAAAAGATGTGTAAAATGAAGAAACAGAAGAATACAAAATAGAGAAAGAAATGTTGGTAGAGTTCAGCCAAACTCTGTAGAAAAGTCCCCTGGTTCAAGGAACTGGGCTATCTGGTCCCAGTGGATGGTAGTGTTCCAAGGTGATGGGTTATTTGAATTGTATAATTAACTTTCTTTGTTCTGAATCTACAATCACTAAGCACCTCCCACCCTGTTATTCTATGCTTATAGTAAAATAATGTCTTTACCTAGACACAAGTACTATATAGTTCCTTGACAGTTACATTTCCCATTTTAAATTATTAAATTTACCTTGGTTTTCTCACCTGACCCAAGAGGTTGAAGGTGAGAGCCTGGGACATGACGAAATCACCAATGTGGTTGCCCAAACAAAATTATTATGTATTTTTTGTTTGTTTTGAGACAGTCTCACTCTGTCGCCCAGGCTGGAGTGCAGTGGTGTGATGTCAGCTCACTGCAACCTCTGCCTCCTGGGTTCAAGCGATTTTCCTGCCTCAGCCTCCCAAGTAGCTGGGCCTACAGGCGTGCACCACCATGCCCAGCTGATTTTTGTATTTTTAGTAGAGATGGGGGTTTGCCATATTGGCCAGGCTGGTCTCGAACTCCTGGCCTCAAGCAATCTGCCTGCCTCGGTCATCCAAAGTGCTGGAATTACAGGTGTGAGCCACCACACCCAGCCTAAAATTATATATTAATGGGACAGCAAAAGTAGCCACAGGAAAAATCACATAACTCATCATTCAAGTCCCCCAAGTACTGTGTAGTAATATTTCATTATTATATAGGTGCTGGTTGAGAATATTTTCAAGAATGAAGTTTTAGACGTATATAGGGCAGCATCATTAAAAAAATGAGACAAAAGGAAACTGGATCACAGTTTAAAACCAGAAATTTGGTGCCAACTATTAACGTACATTTCTAATAATCTTAGGTGAAAATTGAGTCTTAGAAGGAAAGATAGGAAGCAAAATGAGCAAAAGCAGCAATATCTATTACAAAAGCTGACTCTCAATTACTGTTAGTTTAGAGAATAATAAGAACATTTTATTTTCTTCAATTTGAAAAAAAGGTCAATATTTTATTGACTTGAAGTTTCCAACTACATATGCTACAAAACCCAAAACATAACAAGCTATTAATATAATGGAGAGCAAAGAGAGGCTTGCATTTACTGAGGACCTACAATGGGTCAGGAACGAAGCTTATTTTTAAAATATGTATTTTATATTCATTTGCTTCCCAGAATCATCCTATGAACTATTGTTATCCTATTGGATAGATCTGCACTGTCCAGTAATGATAACCATTAGCCACAAGGGGCTATTGAGCAACTGAAATGTGGCTAGTCTGAATTTTAAAGGCTATTATGTGTCAAACATGCATTGGATTTTGAGGACTTAGTACAAAAAATTACGTAAAGTATCTAAACTCCAAAAAGTAAGCTCTTTTCAACATATATCCAAGGTCAAGTGTAGATAAATATCTTTTAGATCTTCCTTAATTCTTCCCCCTCCATGTTCAATCCATCACAGTTCTGTAGCTGAAAACACTGCTATACATGTTCTGATAATATGTGTAGCCTGGAATCTAAAAGTGCGCTAATTTTATATATAACACTGTTCACATTATATGCTTTTAGAGCATTCTTATAAGAAAAAAATAAGTTTAATTGTATTATGCATAAAACATTATTTTATTAATTAACTATTATTCATAAAAAGATTTTCACTAAAAATTAGGAGTATATAAATCTGGTGACATTTAAAGTTAAAAGAAAATCTGATCTACTATTTTCAATAGTAACTGCTTAAGAATCTAAAAATAAAGGAGAATAGCCACCCTACTTTTTTAGACCTATTGTTAGCCTATAAGTAGGTCATGTTGTACAAAGCTTCCTACATTTGCTAAATAAAATTATAGTGTAAATTGGTACAGAACAATCTAAGATTCTATTATGCAAACATAATTGCTTAAAAATAAGGAAGCTAAAAAACAGTATTCTCCGCTTTCATATTTGTAACTTCTGACTAAACCTACTGAATCTCAAATTAATTTCATTTATAATGACAACAAAACAACTCTGTAAGAAAACTCCAAGTTTATACAGACCAGAGATTTTTGGAGGTGTGAATGTTGGAGGTACCATAGGAAACAACAACAGAAAATGGCAAGAGTAAATCTAAGGAGGTCTCCTTCACCCATCTTTGGGCAAAAATCAATATAACACTGCATTATTACTGACAGGAGACTACTGCACACCTTTGGGAGTTGATGTACAAAAGAAAAAAAATGGTTATGAGCCCCTGAACTAGGCATTTTACATTTAGAAACCCTCCAATATAGGTATTTAGTCTTGACAACTCTGTTTTAGAAAAGCAGTTATTCTCATCCTGTGGCATGAAACAATTGCCTTTTAAAAATAAACATTACTGAGCTTCACCTTCAAGTTGACTAAGAAAGCCTGGGTATTATATTCCAGCCCGTTCACCCACTAGTTTATGCTGTGGCAATACAACAGGGTTTTAATTATTAGAGTCTATAATCTGATAGGACAAGTTTCCTTCTTCAAAATTTGTGGGCTCTTTATGGCTCTTTGCTCTTCCATTAAAATTGCTGGAATCAGCTTAAGTTCCACAAAATTCCTATTAGGATTTTAACTACAAATGCACTAAATTTCAAGTAAATAGGCAGAGGACATCTTAAGCACAGTGAGTCTTTTTACCCATGAAAATGGTATTGCCCTGCATTTATTTAGATGGCATCTTTAAAAACGTTGTTCTAGTCTTACACATCTATTATTGATTACTAGTCTCTTATATTTTTTCATTGCTATCTTAAAAGGTAATTTTATAATATGCAGTATTTGTTGCTGGTATATAGGAATATTATACAATAAAGTTTTGACAAAATATTAGATTGCATTTCACATCAACAGATTGAAAAAATATCTGACAATACCAAGAGTTAGGAAATGGAACAATGAAAATTCATTATTGGTAAAAGTTTAAAGTAGTATAATTACTCTGAAGAAGTTTTATTTTTCTAGTAAATTTGAAGAGGTACATAAGCTATGACTGAGCAATTCTACTCCTAGGTATATCCACCTAAAGAATCTTCTGCACATGTGTACAAAGAGACATTTATCTCCTTGCACAAATTGAGGTAGTTTGTAAAAGAAAAAGAAAAAAAAAGAAGTTGGAAATGATCTAAATGCCCATCAACAGAAGGGTGAAGTAATTATGGCCTATTCATATAATACAATACTGCACAGGAATAGAAATGAATGACTTGAACCAGAAGTAAACCTTGGTTCATATAAGAAGCTGCTCCTGCAAGTGCCAAGAATGATACAAGTCCTAAACAGTGAGCGGGGATAAACGTATAGAATGAACGTATGAATAACGTATGCAATCAAATTTGAGGCTAAGCAAGAATAAGATGGACTAGGGTGGTGTCAGTGAGAGAAGTGGAAGGATTAAAGAAATATTTACAAGATAAAAATCATCTGGTTTGGGAGACGGACTGGAAAACAAGAGATGATGGGAGAAGTGTCAGAATCCCAATGGGGATGTAATATGAAAGCAGCAGTATCAAGAGTGAAAGTACAAGAGAAAAATAAATGCGGTAAATCCAAGACATAAGACTTAAATGCCAGCAGTGAAACGATAAAGGACAAAGTGATGTGAGAAGCTGGAAGAATTCTCTAGCAATAGAGCAGTATCACATAAAGTTGAGCTGTGAAGAAAATGATTACGGGCACATAATATGTGCATTTAACGTTCATGAATCCAGTCACATGCCCTGGAGGAAAAAGGAAGGCGATAAGTAATTTGGGCAGCAACCCACTATTCTATTCAAGAACATGTATATTCAGGTGTGTTAATTAGGGTGAAAGTTGAGGAGCTGAAAGAGGCTCCAAAAACAATGATTTAAAGAAAATAGAAGTGTACTTTTTCCTCTTAACAGTCTAGAGTTCCTCCAAGTCATCCATGGACATTCATTTACATGTAATTCTTATGGTCCTGTGAGCTGTCTCTAAATGAAGTAAAGTAGGCTTCTGCGTATCCACTCTACTACTACTGAAGATGTGAAAGTGGATTGTGTTATAGCTTGGATGTTTGTCCCCTAACAATCTCATGTTGAAATTTGATCTCCATTGTTAGGGGTGGGGCCTAATAGGAAGTGTTTAGGTAACAGTGGTGGATCCCTCATGAATGGCTTGGTACCAACCTCATCCTCATGGTTATGAGTGAGTTCCCATGAAAGCAGGTTGTTAAAAAGAGCCTGGCACTCCCTCCTTGCTTCCTCTTTTGCCGTGTGATTTCTGCACACAGTGGCTTCCCTTCACCTTTTGCCACTAGTGGAAGCAGTCTGCACCTTACCAGATGCAGATGCCCAATCTTGAACTTTTCCAGACATCAAAATTGTGAGCCAAGTAAGCTTTTTTTTTCTTTTATAAATTACCCAGTCTCAGATATTCCTTTATGTCGACACAGCCTAAGACAGATTCAAACACATAAAGGACATCAGAGGGGTAGAAAAGAAAGGCTATGACTGGTTCCTGGAGAATAATACTCTGAACGATGGAGGCATATACAGAAATTTGGAAGAATTTGAAACTAACGTGGTACAAAAGTGGAGATACTTGCATACATATTCACTTATCGATGTTCTCAAGGTAGATTTCAAGATACTTTTATTAAAGATAAAACCAGTCTTGTTAAGAATAGGCTTAAAATGCAGTATTTTATGCTTCTCACTTTGTTTTGCATAGCAGGCAAATACTCATATCAAAGTGACTTAAGTAAAAGGTAACTGAAAAATTATCACAAATTCTACATTGATATTGTACCTTTTCTTCATATTCCTCTTTATATCTGTCAGAATAAAATAAGAAAGTCTTTCCCTGTATGTTTTGCTTGACACTATAAATAAATGATGAAGAATCATGGTAAATTGTTCCAAAGTCTATTAAAAATTAAAAGCTTCCCAAGAATGCTATTTTTTTTTTCAGAAGACTGGAAAGATTATAAATCTAATGCCTGGCAAAAAGTATTACAAAGATGATGGAAACATTGTTTTCCAATTAGTATCAAATATTTCAATAGAGATTTAACCACTCAAATCTTAAGGGATAAAATCAACACATTTTTCCAGGTAGGGATAGCAGTGACATAAGGTGATGTGACGGTTAATTTTATACGTTAACATGAGTGGGTCACCAGATGCCCAGATATCTGGCTAAACATTATATCTGGTGCATCTGCAAGGGTGTTAGAGAACAGACTCGCATTTGAATTGGTGGACTGAGTAAAGCAAATTGCCCTTTCCAAGGTGGGTGGGTTGCCATCATTTAATCCATTCAGGGCCTGACCAGAACAAAAAAGCTGAAGGAAGGTTGAATTGAATTCTCTCTACTTGACTGCTTGAGCTGAGACACTGGTCTTCCGCCCATGAACTGAGACTTACACGACCAGCTTTCCTGGGTCTCCAGCTTGCAAATAACAGATTGTGGGACTTAATCTCCATAATCATATGAGGCAATTCCTTATGACAGTTCTCATTTTATATCTGTTTATATATATCTACCTACATGTAAACATAGAAATACAGATATCTCCTACTGGTTCCATTTCTCTGGAGAACCCTGACTAATACAGGTAGTAATAATAATCATATTTACTGTTTAATAAGCTTCTTCCTAATAAAGACACGTTTACGAAGAATATGTTCAAAAACTTAATTTTATGCCTTGGCAGAGAGGAGACAAATTCTTCCCTCCAAACATGTCAAAGACATAATGCAAGGGTTTAAAAAACAGTTATTGCCTTTTAAGAGCCTGATTTAAAGGAAACTAATAATGAGAAGGGACCTTAGAGGTCTTTTAGTTCTTTGCTATTTGTCCTCTGCAATTTGTGTGCAGCATCTGAAATCACTGACAACCCTCTTCTTTTGGAAACTGTTGCCACTTATGTATCTATGCCACTGAATCTTCCAATTTTTTATTTCTGTAAGTTACTGAGTGACAGGCATAGCCAGGCATAGCTATGTAATACAGTAACACGCATAGCTATACATTTGAAATATTTTAAACCCATGTATCCAAAAGGCTTATAATCTAACAGGGTAGACACACAGGTAAATTAACAACTACTATGCTGTGAGAGGGGATATGTTCAGATGAGGTGTCATCAAAAATCAGCCTGAGGCCGAGGAATGAGCCAGGCCTCCAAGCAGATAAAAGAGATGTTTCAGGGAGCGGCAGGTACCAAAGGCAAGGGGGAGTGAAAAGAACCTGACATATTCAAGATACTGTATTCATTAATTCTGCCAACAAGTATTTACTGAACATGTAATATGTACTAGGCACTTAACTGAGAGCTGGGTATTCATTCAGTGGTATGGAAAAACAGGCATAAACTCCTTCCTTTTTATTGAGAGCAGCAGACAAGCATTAACCAAATAATCACACTATATCAGTATGACTATAAACTAAGAACATGCACAGAAGAAAAGCAGATGGTTCCATGATGATGTGCAGACTTACCCTCTGGAGGGTAGGAGATGGTTTTGGAAGACTTCTGTAGGAAAGAATTCTTAAGCTGGCATCTACAAGATGAGTGAATAGGAGTCATCTAAGTAAAAAGGAAAGAAATAGATTCAAGGAAAAGTGTGACACACATGAAGCAAAAATAAAAAAATAAAAGGAGAAAGAAGAGGTAGGCAAGGAAAAGATAAACACAGAGCCTTGAAAGCTCCATTAAGATTTCAGTCTTTATCCTACAAGTTTGGTAAGCCACTTCAGAATTTATGTTGTATTTGTGTCACAGATTTGCATTTAAAAGGCAAAAGATCTATTGACTCTGAAGAGAAACCAGAGTATCAGATGTGCATTTAAGATCACTTCGATTCCAGGGTGCAGGATAAATTGGAAAAGGTCAGGAATATATGTGGGTAGACCCACTTGATAGTCTATTCACTCAGTCGACAAATATTTATTGAGCACCTACTATGTGGCAAGCACCGCTGGTACACTGGAGATACAGGAACAAACAAAGTCTCTGACCACATGAAATTTATACTCTATTAAGGGAGAACAGTCAACAGACAAACAAATGCTCGGAGTCTACAAAGTCATGGAGTGGTAAGCGCCATGAAGGAAAACAAAGTAGTGTCAGAGAATGGTGAACGAGGAATACACACAGAATTATTGGAAATCTAGGCAACAAATGACGACAGCCTGGATTAATGTGGCAGCAGCGAGAGAAGTGGGTGGACTGAAAAGTTATTTAAGAGATAAAAAAGACATCATCTGGTCTTGAGGATGGACTGGAAACATGGGATGATGGGGAACAGTGTCAAAGACAACCCCTAGGTTAGCAGCTATATGCATGTCACTCTTTAAGGAGAGTATAGTGTGAGAAGAGTCTAACAGAAGTTTTGAAGGACTCCAAAATGTCATGACTGAGAAGAAAATGAATATGCAGAGGAGAGCAGCAGCAGGAAAGGTGAACATTAGGTTACTTTGAAGACTGAGTGAGAAGTGAGGAAACACTTCTCAAGAAGACATCAAGACTAGGCAAGACGAGACAATTCCTAAGAAACATATTTAAGAGAAAAGATAGGAGATAGGGTTAATAGCTGGAGGGAGACATGGTAGTCAGGGTAACAGCTAGAGGGAGATGTTGGAGTCTACATAAGGTTTCATGTTGCTTTCCTTTTGGTTTTCAGATTAGGGAGACACAAGTTCAAAAGGGCGTATCAGGAGGGTAGAACTACAAATATAGAGGACAGAAGGGTCTGTTTTAAGGCAGAGAGGATATAGATGTTAGAAAGATCTAACATGTAGGGGCCACTCAGAAGGCAGGGACTTGATAACCTGGGTTTAAAGGGTGAGTAACAGGAAAGAACTTGATATGGTTCTTAGTTTCATGGCTTAGGTGACTACAGATACCACTCACAAGGTAGGGAACGAAGTAGTAGAAAAGGCTGGGGCTTAAAGAGGAAAAAGGAGGAAAGGGCTATGAGAAGGAAACAAAGATGAATTCAGCTTTACACAATTAATTTACAGTTATGTTTGACAGATAAGTGGAACTACACAGTAGCAATTAGATATTTCAGAGCTCAGACTGAGATGACTGAACTTATTAGCATATAAGTAGTAGGTGAAGTACCATTACCCAGGAAAAGTACATTAAAGACTAAAAATGTATTAGGGAAAAATGGAATGATATTCAGAACAGAGTCTTAGGAGTCTTTAAGGTTTAACAAAGAATGTTTAAAAAATCCATATCCATTTAAATGCACTACTGTTTTCCTTCCTATCTTCTGAAATTCCAAGAGAAACATCTTACACTTTTATATTTTTTCAAAACTGAAAAACATGCAGAACCAAAATAAATCTTCTAATGCTGACACTATTGATTTCTATATTTTAGCAATATATATTATAATAAATATTTTTAAAATTCTCAAAGGTACTCAATATGATCTCTTTAAAAAAAATAGTGAGTCAATATAAAACTGGTAGGATATGTGTTTAAGTATCTGGGTATGTGGTGTTTTTGCCAAAGTTAGGGAATTATCTTTAGGCCTTAAAAAAATGAAGGATAGGAGAAATTGTAGTTTTGTAGATCCTGCAAGTTCAAATAACTCTTCTGGCTGTTCATTCAACAAATGTAAGATACTGAGAATGGAGAGAGTGATAAAACACAGTCCTTGACCTCCTTGAGGAGCTCTTAGCGTACATCATGGTACATATGGTACCAGGAGTTGGCAACTATGGCCCACTGGCCAAATCTGGCCCTCTGCCTATTTTTGTAAATAAAGTTGCATTGAAATATAGCCACACTCATTTGTTGAAATGCTGTCTATGGCTGCTCTTGCACTAAAACAGGCAAGTTCAGTAGTTGTGACAGACCATACCACCTGCCAACCCTAAAATACATATTATCTGGCCCATTACAGAAAAAGTTTGCCAACCCTTGATATAGAGCAAAAATAAGCCTGTAGAAAATATTATTTCCTCAGGGAGATAATATGGTTTCAGGGGCTTGGAGCGGGTTTCATAGGGAAGGTAAGTAAGGTAAGGTAAAGGTAAGTGAAAGCTCACAAAAAAACTAAAAAAAGAAGGAATATCACAGAGGCCAGGCGCAGTGGCTCACAACTGTAATTCCAACACTTTGGGAGGCTGAGGTATGCAGATCACTTGAGTTCAGGAGTTCGAGACCAGCATGGGCAACATGGTGAAACCCTGCGTGTCTCTACAAAAAATACAAAAATTAGCCAAGCGTGGTGGCCTGCGCCTGTAGTCCCAGCTACTTGGGAGGCTGAGGTAGAATTGCTTGAGCCTGGGAGGTGGAGGTTTTAATAAGCCTAGATCACACCACTGCACTCCAGCCTGGGTGACAGAGTGAGACCTCGTCTCAAAAAAAATAAAAATAAAAAAGAAAATAAATATCACCCACAAAGGCACAGGGTTAGAAAACACTGTATTTGGCCAGGCGCAGTGGCTCACGCCTGTAATCCCATCACTTTAGGAGGCCGAGACGGGGGGATCACGAGGTCAGGAGTTCGAGACCAGCCTGGCCAACATGGCGAAACCCCGTCTCTACTAAAAAATACAAAAATTAGCCAGGTGTGGTGGCACACACCTGTAATCCCAGCTACTCGGGATGCTGAGGCAGGAGAATTGCTTGAACCTGGGAGGCGGAGGTTGCAGTGAGCAAGATCACACCACTGCACTCCAGCTTGGGCAACAGGGCAAGATTCCGTCTTGGGGAAACAAAAAGAAAACACTGTATTTTAGGAAAACAAGAACAAGCACAGTCCATCTGGTATATAGGATATTAAAAGTGGTAAGAGAGAGGATGGGAGAGAATAACACTGGTAAAAACAGGTTAAGGTTACATTGCTTTGTCCAAAGTTTAAACTAGTAGTTGGGAGGATAGTAAGTTATCAAAAAGTTAAAATGCTAAGATTTATGAATGACACGTTTTTTGAAATTAGAATAGCTTTAATGTTATTCTTTTAATGTTTTTCTCACTGATTTGTATCCTGACATTTTTTGACAAAGAGATTATAGAAACCCAAATATAGAACTAAATATCATCCTGAGTATACAAAGGGACAGTATGCCATACATTTGAATGCCATGTAATTCATCATGCTGTCACAGAAGGAAAAAAGACTTTTAAATTTAGGGCCGGGCGCAGTGGCTCGTGCCTGTAATTCTAGCACTTTGGGAAGCCGAGGTGGGCAGATCGTTTCAGGTCAGGAATTCGAGACTAGCCAGGCCAACATGGTGAAATCCTGTCTCTATTAAAAATACAAAAATTAGCCAGGCATGGTGGTGGGTGCCTGTAATCCCAGCTACTTGCGGAGCTGAGGCAAGACAATCACTTGAACTCAGGCGGTGGAGGTTGTAGTGAGCCAGGATTGTGCCAGTGCATTTCAGCCTGGGCAAGAGAGCGAGACTCCTTTTTGGGGGAAAAAAAAAAAAAGACTTAGAAATTTAGCTATGGGAATCAGGGAGCAGATGGAAGTTGCTGAGCAAAGGAAAGAAACAATCCAATGCGGGTTTTAGAAAGCCTAACTCATGATAGGAAGGGAGGGTGGGCTGAAGTATGAGAGCTACAATAGAGAGAGTAGTCTGGAAGCTGCTGACTAAGCAGTTTGAAAGGCAATGTTTATGGCAGAAGACAGGAAGAAAACAGGTTCAGTATGTTTAAGGAGAGACTGAAAATAATATATAGAGATTTAATTGAATATATCCAAGAGTGCCTCTTAGGTAGACAACTGAAAAGATCTACAAGCAGAAGATGAGATTTGGAAGTAGTGGTGGTTGAAATCATAGGAATGGGTAAAATTTCTTCAGGGGCAGGTAATACACATATGAAGGAAATTAAAAAAGAGAAGACAAGAAAATCTCCACATTTAATAGACAGAGTAAGAATAGCTAGGAGAGAAACAGGAAAATAAGATAAAGGTGATATTGTGGAAGTCAAGCGCATAGTTTCAAGAAAAAGACAGCTTAGCACACAGAATAAAGAGTCAAGTTGTTCAGGTATATTCATAAGTTCTTCTGGTGACAACGTTCAAGATACTGCAATGAGAGAGATAGCAACCAAATGTTTACCTATAGAATAAAGTGCCATGAACTATTTGTGGTGGTTAAGGATAAGAACTCTGAATTCAGAGGGACCTGGGTTGCAATCCCAGCTCTGCTATCTTGGGAAAGTTCAACTTTCTAAGTTTCAGTTTTCAACCTATAATATATATAATATATATACTTACTTGCCTCACAGGATTGCGGGGAGGAATAAGTGAGATAATATAAAGTACTTAGAACAGTGCCTGGCACATAGGAAGTAACGGAATGTTGTCAGTTATTATTAAAATCATTTTTACTAGGAATGGAAAAGCAAATCACTGTGAACTATTGCCTGAAAGCAACTTGGCTGCTGGAGCCAAAAAGGCCAACAAATGTTACATATTGATGAGGATACAAAATATGGTTTACCTTTCTATAAAAACTAGTTTATCTTAAGTGGAATCACTATGTGGAATTATACAGTAATATAGAAATAGGAATTAAATACAACACAACAAAACTTAATTGGGTCTTCTATCTGAGAAAGAAAAAACTAAGTCTATACAAAGGCCTGCTCAGAGAAACAGGAGAACTGACCAGCAGATGGAGCCCTGTAGAAAGTGTTGGCAGGCAAAACTCCAGTGAAGAAGTATGACTCATTAGGATGCCTAAGTTTTATTCCTTAAAGATATTTAATTCTCTCTGCTTTAATCACCAAATGACTTCATTAGTAGTAGGGTTTCCAACATACGTCAACACTGATATTGATATTTTGACTGGTGAAACAGATATCCTAGAATATACAATACTAGAATTCCCTAGTATTTTATAAACTGGAAAAAGTGGTAATTCTGGTTTTGAGATTAAAATAGTAAAAAACGAGTGATCTGATTTTCAGATTTCTCAGGGGTATGTCAATCTGCAAGACTCAGAAACCAGGCCTTAGATCATAAGGCTTCCCTGTGAAGTCTAGCTTAAATCAAGCTAAAAAAGTTGAGGACACCCTCTTCTTTTGTGGTCACTACAAAGACATATAGGATCAAATCAAGTTTTTGTGATTACTCCTCAACTTTTTCACCTTTAGAAGAACTACTAACTATCCAGACCTATACTTGAAAGAAAATCAAAACAGCTGATAAAAAAAAAAAAAAACTAAAATAAGAGTTTAACCTTATTGCACAAGTAACTATATCCATCTGTCTCTACATGCTTACTGGAAGCTGCTAAAACAGTATTAAAATTGATGTTAAACAATAAGTTAATCAGAAAATTCAAGTAAGGGAACCGTCAAATCCTGTTTATAGACTTAAAGTAATAGGATCAATATCACCATTATATAATTTTAGATGACAGTGTCCACAACCTATAAACTCTCACTGCCTCCACAGGACTTGTTCAAAGAGCTTTGCCCACAAACAGTAAAAATCCAACCACAAGTTGAGTATACCTAACCCCAAAACCCAAAATCTGAAATGTTCCAAAATCTGAAACTTTTTGAGTGCCAACATGTTACTCAAAGAAAATGTTCATTGGAGAATTCTGGATTTCAGATTTTCAGATACTACACCAGTATATAATGCATATATTCCAAAATCTGAATAAAAATCTGAACTCCAAAGCAAGTATTTCAGATAAGAAATACTCAACCTGCTGGCCGGGCGCGGTGGCTCATGCCTGTAATCCCAGCACTTTGGGAGGCCAAGGCTGGCGAATCATGAGGTCAGGAGATCAAGACCATTCTGGCTAACAGGGTGAAACCCGGTCTCTACTAAAAATACAAAAAAATTAGCCGGGCATGGTGGCGGGCGCCTGCAGTCCCAGCTACTCAGGAGGCTGAGGCAGGAGAATGGCGTGAACCCGGGAGGCGAAGGTTGCAGTGAGCCGAGATCGCGCGCCACTGCACTCCAGCCTGGGCGACAGAGCGAGACTCCGTCTCAAAAAAAAAGAAAGAAATACTCCACCTGCTTATGTTTTTATGGCATATCTACAGACAATTAACACTCACGCTGATTCATGGATTTCCTCCTGCCACCTCCCTGTGCTGCCAAGCTCACGAGCTGAGGGAGTAGAACCTACAATTTTAATGCCGTACTCTACGGAGACCCCATGAAAAAAACAAAACTAAAGTCCACAGACACATCATGTAGTCCAAAGTCAAATATAAAGTTTTTTGCTTATCCATTTAGAATGTAAGTACTGCTCCCTCACCAACCAACTTTCTTGGAGTTAGAATTTAACGCCCTGTAACACAACTACAAATAATAGTAAAAGCCAAAGATTGTGTGGCATCTAGTTATTGGGCAAGCCTACTTAAGCAGCTTGACCTTGTAAGTTTCATTCACACACAAAAATTATAAATACTTAAACCAGATGATCCTGGATGACAAGATAAAACAACTGTCATGTCCCACTCAAGAGTAATAACTCATAAATTAGGGAAATCGAAATATTACACTAGGCACAAACTGCAAATCCTTGCCCTTCCATTCTAGGGATACTTAGTGTAAAACCTTAGCTATTTTGTATCAGAGAGGTGACACAATGCCTAATTAATGAATGAGAATCCTATATTTTATAAGATCTCCATTACCAAAGATTCAAATTATGATCATTTACTGCAATTTA
This sequence comes from Homo sapiens, assembly GCF_000001405.40. Taxonomy (NCBI): domain Eukaryota; kingdom Metazoa; phylum Chordata; class Mammalia; order Primates; family Hominidae; genus Homo; species Homo sapiens. The sequence continues at coordinate 112,233,185 of NC_000004.12, read as the reverse complement.
TTTATGTTGAACATCTTATTACCCAATAATGTTAGTTAAATGGAACAGATTATGAAAAATTAGCAATCTGTTTCAGAAAGTGCAAAACAGTCTTAGTCCTTACACAAACTGGCTTGGTTCAGATTTTCAATTCTAGGTTTGAATTCCGGAGGGACATTTAATAACAACAAAGCCAACCCCAAAGGAATTTGCTCTAATTTTTTCAATATATATGAAATAAAAAAACACAAAAACGGAATTATGAAATTACTATTCTGTGGATGGTGCATATACAAAACCTAAGCAATATCCCAGGTTTACTCAAGAGAAGTGAAGTTCAGAAGGACTGCAATTTACCTAATGTTACAGGACGTTTGAGTAGCAATCAGGGCAAGGAATTCCTCTCGAAATTTCAAAAACTTAATACGAAAAAATTACACATTGTCCCTGTAGTTATGAGCACCAAGAATCTGAATGCCCATTGGGAACTCTGCAATTCAGCAAGTCTTTGTAGCTACCAGAGTTCATCAGTATCTGGAACCTTATTTTACTCCAGCATCCAAATGACTTCTACTTAAAATCAATCTGAGGCATTAACTCCGGAGCCAGATCCCACCTGCTCTGCCAGGGCTAAAGAGAGGGTCAGATACAGGGATACTAGCTTTGGCGTTAAACCTAAGCTCAGCGCAGGGTGTGTCCAGGTTGCCGTGGAGCCGGTCCTACAGCCCATTAGCGCGAAGCTACCCCTTGTTTCCTGGAGATGATGTCTCCCGTGACTCCTTCCCCGCGTGACAGGGCGCCCTGGCAGGAGGGACACCCCGCCCCCTCTTCTACCTCTTTCCGAGGAGGCCCCAAGACCGGACCCCAGACTGGGCCTCCAAGACGACCACCAGTCTGACGTCTGCTAAGCAGTGAGTGTAGCAGGGCTCTCGACCGCCACCTCCAGCCGCCGGGGGACGGTGAAAGGGATTCCCCGCCGGGGGCCGAAGAGGAGGAGCCACGGGGGCCGGGCCCCTCCCCCAGCGGGCTTACCCTCCGCCGCCGCCTACTCGCTGCAGCCGCCCCGCTTCCTTGCGAAGCAGTCCGAAGCACTGCGTCCAGCAGCAGTTCCCCATCGCATGCCGCCCAGGCGCCGCCGCTCCTCCTCCTCCTCCCGCTCAATGCCCAAACCCAGGCCCGGCAGCTGCATCCGCACGGCACGAGCCGAAATGGGGTTCAAGGACCGAGGGCGGGCCGGCCAGAGCCCGGCGGCGTGAGGGCACGGGGCGACGAAAGACGAGGCGCTAGGGAACAAAGGCAGTGTTTACTCCAGCGGCCGCAGAGCCACCGCTGCGCGAGGGAGGAGCACCGGGCTCAAGGCTCTGGACTCCCTCGCCGTCCGCATGGCCCTTCTCGCCTCAGCTCCTAGCCCAGCGTGAGTGACCGCCTCCAGCTGCCGAAGGAGGCCAGTCCCCGCGAGCCGAGCACCCTGGCCCCGCCCCCAGCGCGCCCAGGCCCCTGCTCGCCGCCAACGCTGCCACACCCCCGGCCTCTCCCGCGCCCCAATTGGGCGCGCTACCTCGGTGCCCCGCCTTCTCTGGCGACCGGCCTGTGCGTCACTTCCGCTCGCTCCTGGTTCAGCCGCCTCTGCCTGCGAGACGGTTCAATTCCTGCGTGCGGACGTTTGTTTTGTTGGACCTTGACCTGACTAGGAAATTTCCCTCTCTCATTGCAGTTTCGGGCATCCTCGTCCGGAGCACGCTGGGCGTGGCATGGCTAAGGCTCAGCCTTCGAACTTTGTATCAAAGGCGTGTGAGGAGCCAGAGTCCCAGGCCGGAAGTCATAAGTGCGAAGGGGCGTTTCTCTGCACGGTGTGCTTAGTTTTTGTTAATACTGCACCATAAGCGGAAAATAGACTCGGGAACTGATTGAGGTTACTTTGAACGCACCAAGATTTTTTTCCGGTCTCTGGTTTGTGTCTTAATTTCCATACTGTTAATGTTTTAGGGAAACGTAATAATGGTGCATTATTGTCCTCGTTTTGTTTGAAAATCAGATCTTCACATAATTTTGGGTTGGGTAGTTGGGGTTCAGAGGAAATTGGCAAGAGGGCTGGGGTTTTTCGGGGACGTCAGCGTTGCCATTCCAAGCATGCTGCCCAGAACTGCTGTAGATGGGAAGAGAAAGCTGCTCTAATGTGTCCGCAGCCCTCTCAAGTGCTACCATATAATTCGCGTCTTGTTTGGCCTCAAGACAGTTGGCCTCACAATAGATATAAGATGTGGTTTAGTAGACACCTCGTCCAGTGGATAGGAGGATGCTCTCATGGACTGGACACATCAAGTTTTTAGCCTGTTTAATTAAACCTAGAAAAATTGTTACATTTTAGAAAGTTTTTATTGATGATAAAATGTTCTCTGAACTCATTTTCTTGCTTCTTTAAATACGTATCTGGTTTCAATCTTAGCACTGCTACTTACTAATGTTTATTTTATTTGGGTTTTAGTTGTTTTGTAATCAGAAGCATAGGATAACATTTGTCCCAATGGTTTGCTTTCAGTGAATGTTGGGATGACCGAATGACTTCCTAGTGAAAGCATTTTCTTTTCTCCTTCCAACCCCTGAAATTAGACAAATGTATTAATGAAATAATCATTAAAATTCAACTATAAATGTTTACAGAAACTGGTACATCTATCCTATGGAATATTTAGTAACAAATAGGAACACAGTATTGATGAACACACCCTGAAATGAATCTGTAGGAAATTATGGTTAAAGAAAAAGCCAATCTCAAATGCTTATATACTGTGTAATTCCATTATGTAACATCTCAGAATTGATAAATTTATGTAAGTGGACAACAGAATAATTGATTGCCATGGGTCAGGGAATGGAAATCCTGCATCTTGTCTATATTAATGTCAGTATTCTGGTTGTGATATTGCAATAGTTTTGTAACATGTCACCACTGGGGGAAACTAGATTAAAGATATACACGGTCATCTGTATATTATTTCTTAAAACTGCATGTGACACAATTGTCTCAATATAAAAAGTTTGATTAAAAAAATGCAGCTATAGACTTGACAGCACTTCCTATAGACATTCTATAAACCGTTATTAAAACTGAATCTCACTTAAAAATAATTTTTTTATAGTAAATCTGTTCTCTCAGTTAAGGATATGAATGATCCTCAGAAGCAATACAAATGAATAAGACATTTAAAAACTTCACTAAGCAAAATAATGCAAATTAAAATGCATGTTTTAGTCATTTGTATTGATTCACTTGTCAAGTTAACAAAGCTTTACAGTTAGAAATATTCAGTATTTGCAAGGATACAATGAAATGGTACTATTCTAAACTGCTGCAGATAATGAAACTCATTCTGAGAAATTATTTGGAAATACCAAGAGCCAGAAACAAACTAAATGCTCAAAAATTGAAGGATGATTAAATTTGCTGGTGTATTCTTGTTATATAGACATAATAAATATATTTTTTAAAACAATATGGAAAAATGCTTGCTGAATAATGTGTGAAAAATCAGGATAGAAAATTATATGTATGTTCCAAATGATGTTTAAAACAAAACATATACATTCTTACATTCTTTCTTACACGTGTTTCTTGAAAATAAAGGCTGGATGGTAAATATCAAAATGCTAACAGTAATTATTTCAAGACTGTGAATGTTGGGAGCTTTATTTCTCTTCTCTATTTTCTCAATTTTGACAATTATTATTTAATACTTCTGTAATCAGAAAAAAATGTTTAAATCTGACCCTTCAGTAGAAAAGGTTGATAACCAGTTCAATTAGAGTTTGATCACAAATGCAAGCATTTAGAAATGCAGAATTTTGCCCCGCAGTTCAGCTAAAACCAGGTTCTTGTCACATGACAAGGAAAACTTAGACACGTGGACACATTGAAGGGTGAGTAGAGCAGGATTTTATTGGGCAAAAGGAAAAAGAAAAAACTCACCAAAGCGAGATAGAGTCCTGTTATCAGGCCCCCACCTCATAGACTGAATCCCAGGCTACTGCACAGGGACTGAAAAGGCACCTCACAGATTGAATCCCAAGCCACCACATAGGAACTGAAGAGGCCAGCCTCCTTCCCCTGCCCTGGTTCCACCCCATTCCCCCAGTGCGCATATGGGCATGTTCACACAAGGCACTGGGCAGGTTCCCTCATCTGCACAAAAGCATCTGATGTGAACACTTGTGGGGCAGGTGGGAGATTTTTCTGGGGACCCCTTTTTGTCTGCCTAGGCATTTGGCTGTCTCCGAAAGTAATGATAACTTGAATATGGGTAGATTATAATAAATTCAGGGGAGCTACTTAATTTTTTTTCTACAAATGTATTAAATAAATTACCAAGCTAATCTTAGAGGTTATTGGAATTTATCATTGTGCAATTTTTCACCAAATTTGACATCAAGAATCTTCATGGTAAGTTTTAAGACTTTTTAAACATTCAGTTAAGTGATGATCTGCTTTTAGTTAAACAGAATTAGCAGGGAAAAAACCCGTAACTGGAATGGATGTTTGAGAGGCAGATAAACTTCATTTTATGGTTGAGAAAGAGTAGTCTTTGAGGAATTAAATGATTTGCTCAAGGTCATACAATGAATTAAAAGTATAATATGAAGAAATCTCAGGCCTCCTGACAGACTTGTGCCTTCTGCCATGCTTCAGTACTGCTTCCTCGACTCTTACATTTGGACATGGGTATAAAATCAGTAACGACCATAGTCACATGTATTCTGATAAGATTTATAAGTTTAATTCATCATTGCTAGAGAGTTCATTTAGAGCTGGGTGTGGTGGCACGTAACTGTAGTCCCAGCTACTCAGAAGGTGGAGGTAGGAGGATGGTTTGAGCCCAGGAGTTTGCGTTCAGCCTGGGGAACATAGCAAGACCTCATCATTTCAAAAAGTTCATTTATATGACAGTTGGCTACGCAGAATATTTAACTTGTCAGTAAGATACACAAACACTTAGATTATCTACAGTGGGACCAAGCACAGTGGCTTACGCCTGTAATCCCAGAATTTTCGGAGGCTGAGGTGGGCAGATGGCTTGAGTCCAGGAGTTCGAGACCAGCCTTGGCAACATGGCAAGAGCCTGTCTCTACAAAAAATAGGTGTGGCGGCATGTGCCTGTATTCTCAGCTACTCAGGAGGCTGAGGTGGGAGAATTGCTTGAGCTCAGAAAGTCAAGGCTGCAATGAGCCGAGATCTAACCACTGCCCTCCAGCCTGGGTGACAAGCCAGACCTTGTCTCAAAAAAGAAAGACTATCTACAGTGATTACTGTCAGCTTGCTAGAGACATCCCACCTGCTTACAGGTAGCAGAACTTCTCACCTTCTTCCCCATCCTTTTCAAAATTCTCTTGGGTACTAGGCTTAATACCTGGGTGACGAAATAATCTGCACAACAAATCCCTGTGATATGAGTTTATCCATATAACGAACCTGCACATGTATTCCTGAACCTAAAATACAAGTTAAAAAAAACCCCGGCCGGGCGCGGTGGCTCACGCCTGTAATCCCAGCACTTTGGGAGGCCGAGGCGGGTGGATCACGAGGTCAGGAGATCGAGACCATCCTGGCTAACAAGGTGAAACCCCGTCTCTACTAAAAATACAAAAAATTAGCCGGGCGCGGTGGCAGGCGCCTGTAGTCCCAGCTACTTGGGAGGCTGAGGCAGGAGAATGGCGTGAACCCGGGAAGCAGAGCTTGCAGTGAGCCGAGATTGCGCCACTGCGGTCCGCAGTCCGGCCTGGGCGACAGAGCGAGACTCCGTCTCAAAAAAAAAAAAAAAAAAAAAAAAAAAAACCCACAACATTTTCTTCTCTCAAGTATTTTATTCTGAAGTTGAAGGGAATGATCTTTTCTCGTAGGTGCTCCGAAGTCCGTCAGGATGCAACGTGTACCCCTAATTGTCTTCTGGATTATGTGGTTCCATATCTGAATCTCTGCTCAGAACTTCTTCTCTATTGACTGCTAATCACTTTTTGTCATTTTGAGATCATTTGCTACTATTATGTTTGGTGTGGAGGTTATGTGTGGTGTGGAGGTTATGTGGTCCCTGCAAAGGGAAGAATTCTGTGTTTTCCATTACGACATTGTTCCAAATATGGACACAAAGTCGTACTTTTAACTCACTGAGCGTAGTTTCGATTACCAAAATTTATACAGAGTACTAGATATGACTACTATAAAATGGAGATAATGAGATAAATTTTGCCTTCGTTGTTAGGATAAATGATTAAGCACTAAACAAAATTTGCCTTTGTTGTTAGGATAAATTACTAAGCACTATCAAGTACTTAGTATAATATAGTTATGTTATAATTTCTATAATGTACTAAATAGGCTATACTATAATTATCTAAAATACCATAAATATAAATAGTAGGTGTTATTATCCACAGACCGAAGGAAATTTTCATCAATATTATACTTTCCTTTGTAGCTACATTCCTGTCATCCAATACAAAACGCTAGTCTTTTAAAATTTCTGTCTCTTAAACAGTCCTCAGGCACACTTCACACCACTACTTGAAATCAGGCTCCAAGAAAATGTGGCATAGGTAGAGGAAAAATTCCCCAACTCTCAGGCCTTGTCTGTCCCATGATTTGCCTCTTTCCCAGATGATTATAAGTGAGAATATCCTCTGACTTAAAGGGAGACCTCAGTCCCTACCAATTAGGAGTGTATTGTCCTGGGAACCCAAATGGAATAATTTCTTCTTAATACGACAAGCTAGTATCATTATTGTTCCTAAAGTCTTATTTATTCAGTCTTAAATAATACCATATGAAAGACCAATAAGCCAGTTCAGGTTTAAATTGAACCAGCCTCGACATTGCCTAATTCATTTGTACATATTTCCTTCCATTATAAGTGAGAATTTTGGTGCACCAAGTCTAGTTTCAGCTCCCATGTACTCAACAATGGCTTGAACAAGAGCACATTTCCATAAGAATAGATAACATTTTGCAGACACATCACAGCTTAAATTAATAGTTAATGAACAAACATTTGTCCAAAAAAAGTCCAAGACAACTAACACTTTATATAATGCAAACAACTTTTTACACTATCACGCAGAGTATTTTGGCTCTTTAAAATCACTTCTCTCAAATTTATTTCTCGTGATGCTCTTTTACTTTATATTTGCATAACTTAATAGTTAAGTAGATCATTTGAGTAATTTTCCAAGAAAAAAGGCACAAAAAGATGTTCTTAAAGATAAAAGGGAAAGTTATTTAACTATTGGCTCAGTCACCAGCAACTCATTTTTTCTGGCCTTTGGATGTATGTGAGATGAGCTTCATTAGTTAGTAACACTGAGTACAATGCACACTAAGTAATTTGCTTCCTTCTTTGATCACCCAACATACACATTTCACAAAGAGAGGGATGAGGGATAAATAGGAACAGTTACACGATTAATATGGAGTCCTTCCTCTAGGCAGAGTTTGTTCCAGATCTCTCTTGCCTAGTTGGAAACCACACTAGTAATTCGAACAAGGGAAATTTAATATGGGAATCAGTAGGTAGGTCAGTGGTGGTTAATGCTAGAAGGAAAATGTAAGTCAAACAGATGTAGCTCCTGCAGGGAGTAGCAACCACCACTGGAACTGAAGAAAAGTGAACAAGGAAAGAATTTAGAAAGTTAGAGGAAGGCCCTACAAGCTAGATATTCAAGTTTCTGATAAGAGTTATGGATGCCATAGAAACATGCTGCCTGCCACTACGGTAAGGGAGAGCATAATAGAAGTTGCCTACCCATGAACTCCCTGTGTAGGCTAGGAAGCACTAGCCACTGAAGCAGGAGGGCTACGGCCACGGTGATAAACACTGCCAGGATTCCTTCCTGCTGATCCACTTGCCACTATATAAACAGAACAGAGGAAAAAGGATGCCACTTCTTCCACCCTTGCAGTGTCCCTGCAGCACCCTGTATTGGGAGATCCTAACATAGAATCAGCCAATGAACGAGAAGGGGTGTCTGCAGAGTCCAGTTTTAGAATAAAAAATCAGAGCAAAGAGGATAGATCATAACTGGCACACGTTTTAACATCCACCCTGGGACAAGAGACAAAGCCTTGGACCCACATAAAGGGAGGAGCCTGAGAAGTATACATAAAGTCAGAACCCTTAGAAGATCTCACTCTGGATAAAAGCCACCTAGTCTACTGGGAGATGAAAACAGAAATTTGTTACTACTTAATTTTTTTTTCAATAGCTTTTGGGGGAAAGTTTATTACTATGGGTGTGATCTGAGTTGGAAAAAAAGGCCTGTCTTCTTTCTAGTTAAAAGAGTTGGAATTCACATTAACCTTAGGGTCTTGGAACCCCAGTCCAGAAATTAACATAAAAAGTCGTTTGGGGCCAGGCATGGTGGCTCACACCTGTAATCCCAGCACTTTGGGGGGCCAAGGCATGCGGATCACTTGAGGTCAGGAGTTCAAGACCAGCCTGGCCAACATGATGAAACCCCATTTCTACTAAAAATACAAAAACTAGCTAGGTGTGGTGGTGGGTGCCTATAATTCCAGCTACTTGGGAGGCAGGGGCAGAGGCAGGAGAATGACTTGAACTCGGGAGGCAGAGCTGAGATCATACCATTGCACTCCAGCCTCGTGACAGACTGAGACTCTGTCTCAAAAAAAAAAAAAAAAAAAAAAAGAAAGAAAAGAAAAGAAAAAGAAAAAGGAAAAAGAAAAAGAAAGTGGTTTGGGGCAGCAATGTCCTTGAGATTTCTTGGAAAGCAAAAAAGTTACTCTGGGTAGACATACCTTTTATCTAGGTTGTACAAGATTCCCACAGATATAAAGCCACACTGAAAATGAGCCTGCAATCACAAAATGCCATGACTATTGGCAGACATTAAGGAATAGCAGGAAAAAAAAACCTCATTCAATTTATAAAATAAATACAGCAAAGAAATCAGATGGACACTATAAAATAAGCATGTTTACAATGATTGATGCCATAAAAAGCAAGGAAATACTAAAGAGCTATTAAAATGAAACAGAACTGGCCGGGTGTGGTGGCTTACACCTGTAATCTCTGCACTTTGGCAGGCTGAGGAGGGAGGATCACGAGATCAGGAGATCGAGACCATTCCTGCTAACACGGTGAAACCCTGTCTCTATTAAAAATACAAAAAATTAGCCAGGTGTGGTGGCAGGTGTCTGTAGTCCCAGTCACTCAAGAGGCTGAGGCAGGAGAATGGTGTGAACCCGGGAGGTAGAACTTGCAGTGAGCCAAGATTGCGCCACTGCACTCCAGCTTAGGTGACAGAGCGAGACTCTGTGCCCACCCCCATACCGCCCCCGCAAAAAAAAAAAAAAAAAAAAAGAAATAACAAAAATACAGAGACACTGAAATTAAATAATTAATGGAGAGATTTCTCCTAATTTCTAATATGTAGAAGGGTGTGAAGGACACATGGTAACAAGAAAAACCTTAAAAAAACTAAAATATTTTTCTATGACATCAGTCAGGAAGTATGTCCAGAATTGGTGGGTTCTTGGTCTCACTGACTTCAAAGATGAAGCCGCAGACCCTCGTGGTGAGTGTTACAGTTATTAAAGATGGTGTGTCTGGAGTTTGTTCCTTTCTGATGTTCGGATGTGTTAGAAGCTTGTTCCTTCTGGGGGGTTCGTGGTTTTGCTGGCTTCAGCAGTGAAACTACACACCTTCGTGGTGAGTGTTAGAGCTTTTAACGCAGCTCATCTGGAACTGTTCGTTCCTCCAGTCCGGAGTTGTTCATTCCTCCTGACGGGTTCACAGTCTCGCTTACCTCAGGAGTGAAGCTACAGACCTTCCTGGTGAGTGTTACAGCTCATAAAGACAGTGCAGACCCAAACAGACAGCAACGGCACGATTTATTCCAAAGAGCAAAAGAACAAAGCTTCCACATTGTGCAAAGGAACCCAAAAGGGTTACCGCTGCTGGTTCCCCGCAGCCTGCTTTTATTCCCTTATCTGGCCCCACCCACATCCTGCTGATTGGTCCATTTTACACAGAGCTGATTGGTCCGTTTTACAGAGAGCTGATTGGTCCATTTTGACAGGGTGCTGATTGGTGCGTTTACAATCCCTGAGCTAGACACAGAGTGCTGATTGGTGCATTTACAATCCTCTAGCTAGACACAAAAGTTCTCCGAGTCCCCACTAGATTAGCTAGACACAGAGCACTGATTGGTGCATTTACAAACCTTGAGCTAGACACAGAGTGCTGATTGGTGCATTTACAATCCTCTAGCTAGACATAAAAGTTCTCCAAGTCCTCACCGGACTCAGGAGCCCAGCTGGCTTCACCTAGTGGATCCCATGCTGGGGGCCAAGGGCGGAGCTGCCCACCAGTCCCTCGCCGGGTGCCTGCACTCCTCAGCCCTTCGGTGGTCGATGGGACCTGGCACCACGGAGCAGGGGGCAGCGCCTGTCAGGGAGGCTTGGGCCGCACGGGAGCCCAGGGCACAGGGGAGGCTCAGGCATGGCAGGCTGCAGGTCCCAAGCCCTGCCCTGCGGGGAGGCAGCTGAGGCCTGGTGAGAATTCGAGCACGGTGCTGGTGGGCCAGCAGTGCTGGGGGACCCAGCGCACCCTCCGCAGCTGCTGGCCCTGGTGCTAAGCCCCTCACTGCCTGGGGCCGGCAGCGCCCGCCAAGCGCCGGGCCTGCCGAGCGCGCGCCTACCTGGAACTCGCGCTGGCCTGCAGCCGCGTGCAGCCCCGGTTCCCGCTCGCGCCTCTCCCTCCACACCTCGCCACCAGCTGAGGGGGCCGGCTCGGGCCTCGACCAGCCCAGAGAGGGGTTCCCACAGTGCAGCGGTGGGCTGAAGCGCTCCTCAAGCGTGGCCAGAGCAGACGCTGAGGCCGAGGAGGCGCTGAGAGCGAGTGAGGGCTGCTAACATGTTGTCACCTCTCAGAAGGAACAATAAACAAAAGAAAGTCCTAATGAAAAGCAAATTACAAGGTGGTCAACTTAAACCAACCATATAAATAATTACCTTAAATGTAAATGGACTAAGCACACTAGTTAAAAGGTAAGATTTTTTTTTTCAGACAGGATAAAAAAAGACCAACTATACGTTGTGCACAAGAGATTCACTCTTAATACAAAGACACAGATATGTTAAAAGTAAGGAAGGAAAAATATGTAACCATATAAACACTAATCATAGTCATAGAGCTGGTATAATTTATTAATATCATACAAATTAAATGTCAGTATAAGCAGCATTACCAGTGATAAAGAGGGATGTTGTATTATGATAAGAAGCTGCACTAGTCAAGAAGACATAACAATTCTAAATGTTTGTGTAACTAATATTCGACTGAGACTCTAATTGCCATGTTGGAGAGACTCCGTGGAGGAGAATGAAGTGGGTTAGCTGACAGCTCCAGCTGAGCTCTCAGCTGGCAGCCAGGCCAAACTATAGGAGGTCATTTAAGCCTTCTAGTGTCCAAATTTTAGCTGGTACCATATGAACCAGAAGAATCACCTTGTCACTCAACAGGATTGTGAGAAATAATAAAATTGTTGTTTTAAGCCACTTTTTGGGGTGGTTTGTTATGCAGCAATAGATAATGGAAATAAAACTTAAATCTGAATTAGCAATAAAAGTATGTTATTTAATGATACAAAAGTAATAGCAAAAGGAGTCAGTAAAAAAAATTAAATTGGGGCCAGGCACAGTGGCTCACGCCTGTAATCCCAGCACTTTGGGAGGCCGAGGCAGGTGGATCATGAGATCAAGAGATTGAGACCATCTGGCCAACGTGGTGAAACCCCGTCTCTACTAAAAATACAAAAGTGAGCTGGGCATGGTGGTGCATGCCTGTAGTCCCAGCTACTCGGGAGGCTGAGGCAGAAGAATTACTTGAACCCCGGAGGTGGAGGTTGCAGTGAGCCAACACCGTGCCACTGCACTCCAGCCTGATGACAGAGCGAGACTGCATCTCAAAAAAAAAAAAATTAAATTGGTTGATTGGTTGCCTCTTTGATACATTAAACTATTTGCTCGTATTACCTTAATACAAATAAAAAATTTTTAAGACAAAGAAGAGAACTTATGTGCTAATAAAAAAGCCTGAAGAAGTTACCCAGAATTTAGTATATGAAGATGAAAATAGCAAAGAGAGGAATTCCAGAAGAAGGAGCAATAAAGAATGGGGTATGGAAATATTCAAAGATATAATATTTCAAGTATCATTAACACTTGAGATATGAAACCTAAGATTATGAAATAGAATTCCTGAGGAAAATAAATAAAAAGAAATCTATATCTATATACATCATGTGAAAACTAAAAAGCATCCAAGTCAGAAGATCTCAAAAAGAAACAGAGAAGAGACATATTATATTTATAGGATGATGAACCCTCAACAGACTTCAACAGCAACAATAAAAATCAGGACACCATGAAGTAATATATTAAAAGAGCTGAAAGAAAATAATACTTACCAGCCTGGGTAACATGGTGAAAACTCATCTTTACAAAAAATACAAAAATTAGCTGGGCCTGGTGGTGAACACCTGTAGTCCTAGCTACTAGGGAGGCTGAGGTGGGAAGATCGCTTGAGCCTGGGAGATGGAGGCTGCAGAGAACTGTGATAGTGCCACGACACTCCAGCTCTGGTGACACAGCAAGACCCTGTCTCCAAAAAAAAAAAAAAAAAAAAAAGAAGAGAAAATAATACCTAACTACTGTTCAACAGTGACAGCAAAAAAGAAAAATAGGTATCTGCTATCTATGGAATCACACAGCTATGGCATTTACTATGGTTAAGACATTGAAATCCTTTCCCACCGGTTGGTAGATAGCTGCTGCTCCAAGCCTTCTGGAGCATCCTTTTCTCATAATGTCAGCCACTAGCCTTTCCCATAGGACCCTCCCTCCCAGCTCTCAAAAATCCAACAACTGAAAGGTTGATGCTTGGCACATAAAGAGGCTTCCAGGACCTTGCGCCAGCCCTGTGGTTCGTGTCTCCTTTGATTGGCTAGGCCCTGCCCGTCTGTCAAATCCGGCCTCCTAGCGAGCCCGCAAAGGACTGTCCTATTTCTTCTCTGAGTCTAGCACCTGGCCCTTGGGGAAATGGGTGCTCTGTGCACCACTTGGAGTTTGTGCAGGTTCCTGCCAGCCTACAGGCCTGCAAGCCAAGTTGCTGTCTATCCGATGTGCTAGCTCTCATCAGACAATGTTCTCCTGGCCAAAATGAGCATATATCTTACTGATAGCAGCACTTGTACCCTGTAGGCAAATGCCCAATACCAGGCTGGCTGCCTATCCAATGCTGTGGCCAACTGCTGCAGGTTACACTCCTTGGATTAATCTTTGAGTGGCCATCATGGGAATTGTAATCTTCTTAGGACTTTGAGAAAGCCACGGAGAAACAGAAAAAACAGTTATCAGCCAGTAATGGAAAACCATTCAGGTAAACCTAACTAATATCTAAACTAATATAGATAGCTAAAATCAGTTTCTGTTGCTTGTAACCACATACACTGATACACCCCATGCCTGTTGCTCTTCCAGTGTCTCATTTCCCAGGGAATGCTACCACTACTTACTGGCTGTGTGACCTCAGGCAAACTACTTAACTATTCAGTTCTTTAATTTCCTCATCTGTAAAGTGGGGATAATAAAGGAATCAACATGAAGCAATGTTGTGAGGATTAAATGGGTTACTATGTGTAAAACATGTAAAACAGTACCTGGCAGGTAGCATTACTATCTAAGTGTTGACTTTTAAGATTTTGAGTCAATTATCAGTTTTAGGATCAGGCATCACTTTTTCAGGGAAGGCTCCTCTAACTTCCTGAAGTCAAAAACCTTTATTCTAGGCTCTTTCCCACCTTTTCTCATAGCACCAGTCACAGTCATAATTTTACATTGATTTATGTAATTGCTTTTCTTAACCTAGATATTGACTACACAGGTGTTCACTGTATTCTTTTACTTTAAGCTGTACATATATATTTTTAAATTTTTATCAGATTTTTACACATTTTACTAGGGAATAATTGACATACAATAAGCTGCTCATATTTAAAGTGGACACTTTTATAAGCTTTCAAATATGTATGAAACTGAACCAATAGTCCCATAGACTGTTCTTTTGGATAAACATAGAAATTGACCATTTTGTTCTTAAAGCTTGAAACTCATATTTGTTTTATCTGAGTTCTTTCCTCAGGAAACAACATTCAGGCCTCTCAAAAAGGCACCAAAGAACTGAAACTCATCAGATCACGGCAGCAGATGCAGGACCCCCTCACTCACCATGATTGGCCCGTCCTAGTTGTTGTTTTCTTACATATTGTTACATTTCTTCCCTGCTAATATAAACCCCTGGTTTTAGTTACTCAGGGAGATGGATTTGAGACTGAGCCCCCATCTCCTCAGGTGCAACACCCAATTAAAGCCTTCTTCCTTGGCAACACTTGTCTCAGTGATTGGCTTTTGTGCAGTGAGCAGTAAGACCTAGACCAAACCCCTGGTGTTTCAGTAATATGTATACATTTGTGAAAATATCACCACAACAAAGCCTATCAAAATTTTATTTCCTGTAGAGCTCAAAGCCTTTGGAAATATTTTTCTTGTTGTTGGAGTACTTTTTCCAAATATAGTTTCAGACAAGATCTTTATGTGATGAATGTTCTGATGCCTTGTGTGACTGAGAGTTTCTGGTTCAGTCACACACCGATATAATAGTTTAGTTTTATGTAAAATTCTAGATTTAAAATTATTTCAATTCTTTGAAAAGATTATTCCATGTTATTGTTGCATGCCAGTTTTATTATTGTATCTTTTATGTGATTATTTGACTCATGCCTTTACCCACAACTAGACTATAAACTCCACGAAGGCAGAAGTCATGTTGTTTTTGCTCAATCTTGTACCTGAGTATCCAGCACAGTGCCTAATAGGTGCTATTCACATTTGTTGAGGGCCAGGCATAGTGACTTATGCCTGTAATCCCGTGCTTTGGGAGACCAAAGCAGGAGAATCACTTGAGACCAGGAGAATCACTTGAGACCAGGAGTTCAGGGCTATAGTGAGCTATGATCATGCCATTGCACTCCAGCCTGGGCAACTGAGAAAGAGCCTGTCTCTAAACAAACAAAACACATCATTGAATGAGAGTTAGTGGGAGGCAAGACTAGAAAGATATTTGGGATAATGTTTTGGATGGCCTTGACTGCCAGTTGGAAGAACTTACATTACATTTTGTAAGCAATAGATTTAGAGAAAGTTGTAAAATTGTGTAGTGACATAATTAGAGCAGCACTTTAGGAGGCTTTTCTGAGAGCAGTATGTTGGATATATTGGAGTAGGGGAAACCAATTACAGTGCCATAGCAACAATGTAGAAGAGAAAAATGAAGGCATTAATTCAGATGCTGGGTATGGGAATTTGAAAGTGAAGACATATTTGAAACAGGACAGAACTTCACAGGGGTTGCTGAACCTGTCTAGATGATTTCTAAATTTCAGCTGTGGATCAACAGAAATAGGGAATTTCAGGTAAGTTCTGAGTTAGGTTTTAAACGTCTTTTGTTTAACATGCTGTTGGAATATTCGTATCACGATAAACAGGAAAAAGCTGAAAATTTGTCTATAGAGCTCAGGACATAGGTCAAAACTAGAGAAATGGTCTATTTTTAAATAGGGCTGGTCAACTCTGTGTTCATGAGTATCAAGCCTACTGTCCACATTTGGATGGCACACAAGCTAAGACTGGTTTTTACACTTTCAAATGCTGGAGAAAAAAAGAAAAAACAAAAGAAAAATAATGTTTTGTGCTGCGTGAAAATTATATGAAATTAAAATTTTATCATTCCCAAATAATTATATTGGACCAAAGCAACGGTTATTCATTTTCTTAATGTCTATGTCTGCTTCTGTGCTACAAGAGCAGAGTTGAGAAGTTGCTTTAGAAACTGTATGACTTGCAAAGCCCAAAATATTTACAATCTGCCCTTTTACAGAAAAAGTTTACCACTGTGTACACACATTGCTGAGTTGTCAACTGTTGTCATTTTTTTATAAGGCAATTTGGCCAGAAAGGAGAACAAAAAATAATAATAGCTGTATTAAAGTAACAAAATGATGGATTTTTCCCTTCCCAAATTCCTTCAAGTATTTTGATAAGACATGTATAGTTTTTAAAAAAAAAATCTATTCAAGTATTTTAAGCTAAAGCAAATGAATTTACTGTTTGAAGAGTGAAATTCCAGGCCTATAATAAAAATTGGAAACTTCGTTAGGTCATACCAAGCAAAAGCTTATATAAGTAAAGCTGACTATAAAGTGTGTTGGGGAGCAAGAAACTAGATTCCACTTGTTCAGCCGTAGGGAGGAGCTGTGTCATAGACAGATCAGTCACTTCTGGTTAAAGGTTCAGGTGTGTGCTAGATTCAGAGGCACAGGAATTCAATTTATCCGTCTCCCAGGAGTTGACTTTTGAGCACAATTTTTCCCAATAAGAAAGGCCTGTTGGTATACCAAAGAGTTGTGTGGTAGGTATGAAGAGCAAATGGGCTGAGTTGAGGCTGTGAACAGTTGTCATTTAACTAGGATAGCTTCTTAATATAGGGACATAATTAGTCTGACCAGAGAGCCTGAATTGGTTAATCACAATACCTTCTGCTATAGATAAAGTAGATAAATATTGACAAATCATTGCTCTTTGGTTCTCACATTTTACACCCCATATTTATCATTATTCTTCAGTTATTGTAGAATGGCACTGTTGTAGACAATAATAAATATAAATAATAAACTATTCCTAAAGTTATCATTATATTTACTCTCTTTGATAAAATTAAGGAGCAGCATGGTCTTTTTGATGGAATTTGGAGAACACGCTAATATTATCAGTACCATTTGAAAAGTTAACTCAGAAAGTGACTTTTATTAATCTCTTTCTCTCTAAATTCTGAGGAGTTCATTATTTTTAGGAATTATGTGTTCAACTTATTGTGGGTACTTATTATATTTTGTGATGATTCTTTAGCTGCTTTGTCAAAAGGTGACAACTTTTTTCTTTCCCTTTAGCATGGTCAAATGACAGAGGTAAGGAATGTCACATCATAAAGCATACAAATTTATAGGGTTTGAGGTATATGGATTTTTTTTTCAGTGTATAGAGTGACTTGAAATATACTACAATATTTTCTGTGGTAACTTTTTAGCACATATTTTCTGATAGAATATAAGATGGAAGCTGGAATGGCACAATAGTATGCTTTCCATTTCAGACATATCAAGTCTGAGGGGTCAATGAGAAACAATACGACAAAGTCCAGAAATCTACTGGAAATGTGAAACTACACTGTGGGTAAAGGTGAGGCCTACAGACACTAGAGTTGGAAGTCAGGGCAGAGCAGCAGATGAAGTCAATAAGAGAATATGTGGAAATGGAAGAGAGGCCATGTGGTGTGAAGGGAAGATATATAAAGTATCTGCCATAGTGCTTGGCATGTGCTGTGCACCTTATACATGGTAGATGCTAACAGTGGATCTGCAGCTGAGGAACACTGGGATTACATAAAGGAAAAGAAGCCAGTGAGAGTGAATGTAGCGACATTTTAGGATATAAGGTAAATATACAAAAATCAATTATATTTATCTATGTACTAACAGTAAGCAGTTTAAAATAGAAAATTTAAAAATACTATTTACAAAAGAAACAAAAACCATGAAATACTTGGGATAACTCTAAATCAACTTCATTATTTTTCTCCTTTCATCTTCTATTTCTAATCCCATTCCCTCTCCTCCAGACACTAGAATTAATGCATGTAACATATGCCTTTACAATATGCTCTCCTAATACTTATTTGGACATATATGTATCCTTGAAAAAATACACAGTGGTCTTCCTGTGTATTTAATTTTTTTAATATAATTAGTGTAATTCTGGCCTTTTGTAATTTGGCCAATGTGTTCAGACAATTAAAAACTTACAAAACAAACAAAGTAAAACAAGACACAACCCCAAGAAGTTCAGGAAGTAACTGACAATTACTATATTGGAAGAAATAGTCATATACTTGTTATTTTGTTTCTATTATACTCCCTGGAGGCATTTGTTTTACATTTTTGGGGGGGAATTAAAGCTGTTTAAAGAATTTTCTTTTTTAGTGCTATACTGAGAAGTAATGGCAATATAGTTTTTGTCTTTTGTTTTTTTGGTGGTTTTGTTTGTTTTTGTGTTTATTTTGAGAGCTGGGATTCAGTTCTGAGGATTGCCTACAGGAAGACAATGCAGAAATACTCATGGACATTTCCATGACATATTTAGGAAGAGCTGCCACCTGCAGGTAAAAAAATGAAATAAATGCACTGGGCCTTTTTTTTCTTTTTGAATGAATGGAATTCATTATCACTACTTATTTTTCTTTATTTAAAATAATCTTGCTCCCTCTTTCTCCTGCCAATTTATGAATCTTTCCTGCCTCTCCTTTTCTTAATTCCCAATTCTTTCACTTTTTCTTTGGAAGAACATCATTCTCCTCACCTCCTTCATTCAGTCTACCTTCTACTCCACCAAAGACACATATGACAAGATGTCTAAAATACAGTGATTAATTTAGGGATTTAGTTTTAGTTTCAGTTTTCACACTTAGTATGTTAATGGCCCTAGGCTTTGTCACACATAAAACATTATCTTAGATTTTAGCCTCCAAACATTAGGAATATGCTTATTTGATTCTTTTTTTCTTGCTTTCATAGTTTTTTTTAAGTCTTACATTCAGCTTTCAGAAGTATCACTTTAGAATGGATTCACTATAAGGTCATAAACTTCTTTTATCATTTCTCTTAATCTCTGGGTTTTTCTGAAATTAAAGCTCTATCAATTCTTTCTTAAAGTTGTTTTTTTACTCAAGGCTATTTTTCTTTTGGTCTACAGTTAGATCACAGCTACCTGCATGAGGCTGCACTGACTGGATTTAAATATTCTAGTATTAGTTTCTATTACTTGTTTTTAAGTGGAAATAGCTTAATTTCCAATTAAAAATTTGTTCAAGACCTAAGAGAACTGTACTTTTACATTTGTATTGCTACATTTAAAATGAAGCAATATGTGTTAGTCACCCCTCGGTACGGTATGCTGACTAAAAAGTTGATTTCCGCATTTTAGTGGCTTAAAATAATAAACATTTACTTTTCATTCACAACACAATCCACTATTAGGACACCCTCTTTCTTCTTGTAGCTGTACCAGCTAGAACATGTGTTGTTCAAGGTTGCCATTGCAAGGAAAAAGAGGGATAAAAAAAGGCAACTTAGTTCTTAACTCTTTTATCATTTATGTGACATTCATTACTACCACTTACATTTTATTGGCCAAAAATTGTCATAAGTCCCCAAAGGAAGGCAGTGAAATATACACAAGCACATGGATATGTGATGAGAATTAGTAATCTTTATCACAGTACTTTTCTTGTTAGTCTTTGACTTTTTCTCACAGAGAGTAATAATATATGAAATGGAGAAAAAATTTTGAAACAAAAGAATTACAATCCGATCATATAACTTTCAAAATTAGTAAAGTAAGATTCAGAGGCAAATTAATACATATATTAGGCTTATTTTTAAAGCATAAAGTATACTCATACGAATCAACTTATTTTAAAGGGATTTGTAGAGATTTTAAAATACATCCACAAATTCTTTGCCATTCCTCCCTTCTAAAGGTGGAGACTGATTCCTCTCTCTCTGAGTATGGGCTGCACTTAGGGACTCACTTCTAATGAATTGAGTATGGTGGAAGTGATAATGTGCAGCTTCCAAGATGAGATCATAGAATGCTTTGTGGCCTGCTCCTTGCTCTCTCTTTCAGATCACTGGCCTGGGGGTGGGGCGGGAGCCAGGTGACAAGTTGGGAGGATACATGAAACAGCTCTATGTGCAATGAGGAACTGAGGCCTACTGCCAATAGCCATGCACGTGAGCCTTTGTAGAAATGGATCCTCCAGTTTCAATCAAGGCTGTGAATGCCTGCAGCTCTAGCAACTTCATGAGAGCTCCTGAGCCAGAGCCACCCAGCTAAGTGGCTCTTAAATTCCAGATTCACAGAAACTGAGATAATAAAATTTTTATTTTTAGTCACTATGATTTGGGGTAATTTGCTATGTAGCAGCAGATAACTAATTCAAGGTTATAAGAAAAGTCTATTTTATTGGCATAAACATTTTGAAACTGACCCAATAGTCCCATAGACCAGGGGTCCCCAGCCCCCATCCATGGCCTGTTGGGAACCGGGCTGCAAAGCAGGAGGTGAGCTACGAGTGAGCATTACCACCTGAGCTCCATCCCCTGTCAGATCAGTAGCAGCATTAGATCCTCTTAGGAGTGTGAACCCTATTGTGAACTGTGGATGCCAGGGATCTAGGTTGCATGCTTCTTATGAGAATCTAATGCCTGATGATCTGAGGTGGAACAGTTTCATCCCACAACCATGGCCCTCACTGTCTGTGGAAAAATTGTCTTCCACGAAACCAGTCCCTGGTGCTAAAAATGTTGGAGACTGCTGCCATAGATTGTTTTTTTCATAAACATAGAAATTAACTGTTCTGGTCTTAAAGCTTGAAACTTACATTTATTTTATCTGGGCTTCTTCCTCCAGAAGTCCTCTTAAAAAATGTGTCAAAGAACTGAAACTCACAAGATCACTGCATCCAGACAATGAGATGGCAGTCCCTTCATTCATTATGATCACTTCCTTACCCCTCCCTAGTTGCTGTTTTCTTATACATTGTTACATTTCTTTCCTGCTATATAAACGCCTAATTTTAGTTAGTCAGAGATGGATTTGAGATTGATCTCCCATCTCCTCAGCTGTAGCACCTGGTTAAAGCCTTCTTCCTTGGCAATAATTGTTGTCTCAGTGATTGGCTTTATGAGCTGTGAGCAGCAGGACCTAGACAGAATACCTGGTGTTTCAGCAACAATTTCCTATTGAATGCTAAACAAAAATATTTTAATTAACAACTTTTTTCTTTGTTTCGATACAGGGTCTTGCTCTGTTATCCAGGCTGGAGTGCAGTGGTACAATTATGGCTCACTGCAGCCTCAACCTCCCAGGCTCAAGTGATCCTCCGACTTCAGCCTCCCAGGTAGCTGGGACCACAGACTTTTGCCACCATGCCTGGCTAATTTACATTTTTTATTTGTTGTAGGGCTCTCACTATTTTGCCCAGGCTGATCTTGAACTCCTGCACTCAAGCGATCCTCCCGCCTCAACCTCCCAAAGTGCTGGGATTATAGGCGTGAGCCACCATGCCAGCCTTAATTAACACCTTAAAATGAAATTACATGAATATGCCATGTGTGTAGGGGAAGAAAAGAGAAATGAGGGGTTCAGCCCCATTCAGTGATTTTATTGTCCTCTTATTATACTATATTAACAACCAAATAATTACAGAGAAAACCCCAGAGAATTTAGATGTTTTCATTGAAA
Organism: Homo sapiens; assembly: GCF_000001405.40. NCBI lineage: Eukaryota > Metazoa > Chordata > Mammalia > Primates > Hominidae > Homo > Homo sapiens. Next base: position 112,211,725 of record NC_000004.12, on the reverse strand, counting down.
TCTACCAATAAAACATAGAAATTTAATAACTGCTGTATATGCCCAACATTAAAAAAGGATTCCCATTTTTAGATTAGTCATAATAAGGTATAATTTATAGTAATTAAAATACAGACTTCTTGGTCAGTGTGTAAAGGAAGGAAATATGTTCATGGCTATGAGAAATCAGATTTTGATCATACATAAGCTGCTAGTTACTTGCTGTAATGAGTCTAATTTGATATTTAGGGTCAGATTGTTGTCAGTTTTTACTGCGTGGTAGTTCAGGCTTGGTGGTAAGATGTCTAAAAATGACCAGAACCACTGTCCTATTATAATGAAAATCTGTAAAATAATCAAATTTGCTTTTATTTATGTGTCACATTACCTTTCTTTTTGATAGATTTCAAAGTAAAACTTAAGAATTAGTATATCATGAAGATATTTTAAATATGGTCTGCATTGATTAGTTTTAGTATGCTATCAAGTAAGTAATATTAATAATATCATGAGCTCCCAAAGAATCAGCTCACAGGATGCTTGTACCCATGAGTCAATAAACTTGATCATATTGATACCCTGACCTTAGGCATGCAGTTCCTAATGAAATGAAAAAAAAAGATTATTGATATATAATTTACATACCCATATAATTCACCCCTTTAAAGTGTACAATTCAGTAGCTTTTAGTATATTCACAAGATTGCACAACCATCACCACAGTCTAATTCCAGAACATTATCATCATCCCCCAAAGAAATCTGGTACCCTAGCAGTTACTCCTCGTTCTTCCCTCCCCTCAGTCCCTGGCTACCCATAATCTATTTTCTGTCTCTGGACATTTTATATAAATGAAATTATGCAATATGTGACCTTGTGTATCTGTGTATCTGGACTCTTTCACTTAGCATAATGTTTGCAAGGTTCATCCACATTGTAGCATGTATCAGTACTTCATTCCTTTTTTTTTTTTTTTTTTTTTTTGGCACGGAGTCTTGCTCTGTTGCCCAGGCTGGAGTGCAGTAGTGCAATCTCGGCTCACTGCAAGCTCCGCCTCTTGGGCTCACGCCATTCTCCTGCCTCAGCCTCCCAAGTAGCTGGGACTACAAGTGCCCGCCACTACGCCTGGCTAATTTTTTGTATTTTTAGTAGAGACAGGGTTTCACCGTGTTAGCCAGGGTGGTCTCGATCTCCTGACCTCGTGATCCTGTGTCCAGAAATGGTTCCTTCCGGTGGGTTCTTGGTCTCGCTGACTTCAAGAATGAAGCCGTGGACCCTCATGGTGAGTGTTACAGTTCTTAAAGATGGTGTGTCCAGAGTTTGTTCCTTCAGATGTTCAGATGTGTCTGGAGTTTCTTCCTTCCAGTGGGTTCATGGTCTCGCTGACTTCAGGTTGTCAGTGGCCTCAGTGCTTTCGGGCTATGCCCTTGTTTACACTGAAAACAAGGTGGTATTGGAGTGTTATAGGGTTACAGAGAAGACCTTCAATTATCAATTATAGGTTTTAAATGTACCCTGGCTTTTAAAGGAATGGGGTACACTGTTTTTTTCTTTACTATTTCCATTTCTCTTTCTCTTTGACTTCTTCGTCTCTCTTTTCCTCTCTTTCCTTCTCTCTTTGACTCTTCCTCTCTTTCCTTCTTTGACTTTCTCTCTCTCTGTCTCTTCCTCTCTCTGTCTCTCTCTTTGACTCCTTCTTTGTCTGTCTCTTCCTCTCTGTCTCCTTCTCTTTGTCTCTCTGTTTCTTCCTCTCTCTCTCATTCTCTGATTTTCTGTCTCTTTCTCTCTTTCCTTTCTGCTGCCTCTGCCAGCTGCTTATGCTGCTATTCTTCCCTCTCCATCCCCTTTTGATGGCTTCAGCAGTGTAAGACTGCCACCTCCTTGGGTTTTTGCACTGCGTGCAATAACTCCATGGTTTCTTTGTGATATTTAATGGGGGTTCCTCCAGAGGTTAGGAACTCCCTTTCTTTCCATATTGCAGCATGGGCATATAGGATTAGATAAGCATACTTGCTATCTGCATACACATTTATTCTTCTTCCCTTTCCCAGTTCTAAGGCTCGGGTAAGTGCCACTAGTTCTACTAACTGGGTGCTGGTCCCTGGGGGAAGAGGCTTGCTTTCAAGTAGTATTACATCACTAACTATGGCATAACCTGCCCTTCGTATCCCATTCTCCACAAATGAACTTCCATTGGTATATTAGGTTAAGGTCAGGATTAGCTAAGGGGACTTCTTAGAGATCCTCTTGGGCGGCAAAAGTCTGGACTATAATTTGTTGGCAGTCAAGCTCGATTGGTTCCCCATCCTCTGGGAGAAAAGTGGCAGGGTGGAGGGCCACACACGTGCGTATTTGAAGCACTGGTCCCTCAAGGAGTAGCGCCTTGTATCTAAGTAGGCAGTTGTCTGATAGCCATAAACTTCCTTTGGCACCTAGTATGCCATTTACATAATGAGTAGTCCAGACAGTGAGATCCTTTCATTGTATTATTTTGATAGCCTCTGACTCTAAGATGGCCACTACCGCAACTACCTGTAAACAGTGAGGCCAGCCTTTTGCTACTATATCAATTTCCTTACTTAGGTATGCCACTGGTTGTGGGGTTGTCCCATGAGTCTGAGTAAGGACTCCAAGAGCTATTCCTGCTCTCTCTGTGATGTATAAAGAGAAGTTTTGTCTCATGGGAAGGTTTAAGGCTGGAGCTTGAGTTTGTTCCTTCCAATGCCCAGATTTCAGGGTTGATTCCCTCCTCAAGCAGGGCACAAAAAATGGGTAACTTGTTCCCCATATTCATGTAGATAATAGCTCCAGCTTTGGGTAATATGTCCTTCCCTAATAAGGGCATGGGACTTTCAGGCATAACAAGAAAGGCATGTGAAAAGGGCAAAGTCTCCCAATTACAACTGAGGAGGTGGGAGAAATACCTGATTACAGGCCATCCCAGGATTCCTTGGATGGTAACGGACCTTGAGGACAGCTGTCCGGGACAGGAGATTAACACTGAGAAAGCTGCACCAGTGTCCAGGAGGAAGTCAATTTCCTGGCCCTCAATGGTTAAACATACCTGGGGCTCAGTGAGGGTGATGACATGAACTGGTGCTTACCCTGGGCACTCTCAGTCCTGTTGTTGGATCATCTGGTTGGGGGCTTCTGGCCCAGAGAACCTTTGTCCTCTGGGGCAGTGCACCTTCCAGTGATTGCCTCAGCATAATGGACATGGGCAAAGGGGCGGCTTGTTTCTTGTTGGACAATCTTTTTTTAAAGTGTCCTTGTAAACCACACTGATAACAAGCACTACCGGGTGATTGGCCTGCTCCATTTTCTGTCCTCTCTGAACCACCAAGGTTTGTTTGTCTGAGGGCCATGACTAAGGCTGCGGCCTTTCTCTGATCTTGCTGTTTCTTTTCAGCCTGTTCCTCTTGGTCCCTATTGTAGAACACTAAGGTTGCCAAGTTTAATAATGCCTCCAGATTTTGTTCAGGGCCCAGGGCTCACTTTTGGAGCTTTCTCCTGATATCTGTGGCTGATTGGATAATCTTTTAGGATCAATTGACCCTCTAGTGAGTCGAGTGACAGGGGAGTATATTTTCTTAAGGCCTCCCATAGCCGCTCAAGGAAGGCAGAAGGATTTTCTTCCTTTCCCTGACTTATGGTGGACATCATTGAATAATTCATGGGCTTTTTCCTAATTCTCCTTAGTCCTTCTAGAACACATGTCAACAGATGTTTATGACTCCAGTCCCCATGATCTGAGTCTAGATCCCAATGGGGATCCATACTGGGGGCATCTTGCTGATCGGTAGGGAATTTGTCCCTTTCTTTGGCTGTCATTCTATCATTTACTTGACTAAGATACCAGTTATCTCCAAACTCTCAGGCTACAGCTAAAGCCTCATTCTTTTCATTAAAGGCCAGGGTTTGATCTAACAGTAGCATGACATCTCTCCAAGTGAGATCGAAGGTTTCTCCTAGACCCTGTAGGACATCTATGAACCTATCAGGATAATCTGAAAACTTCTCCAGGTCTGCCTTGATCTGCTTTAATTCAGAGAGGGAGAAGGGGACATGTACCCGGGTTGGGCCAAATTGCTCTCCCACTACGGCTTGAAGGGGACATAATCGATAGCCCAGGGGTTTTTGTGGTCCTTTAGAGATTTCTTTGCTTGTTTCCTTCTGGGTGGGGGAGATTAGAGAAGGCTTATTAATAGGAAGGGGAGCTATAGGGAGGCTAGGATATGGGGGTAAACTGAGAGGTCCTCCTGTGGGATGTAGATTGCAAGCTTTGCATAGTTGTGGATTCACCTTCAATGATAAGAAAGCTTGGACATAAGGTACTTCACTCCATCTGCCTTCCCTCTTACAGAAAAGGTCAAGCTGCAGGATAGTATTGTAATTTATACTTCCCTCAGGTGGCCATTTTTCCCCATCAGAGAGAGAATATTGGGGCCAGGCCATAGTGCAGAAAAACAATGAGCCATCTCTTTTTCAGGGTTTGCAGGTCAAACTGGTCCCAATGGCTTAGGATGCACTTCAAGGATGAGCCTGTTGATGCCGGTTTCCCATCTGAAAGACAAAATCGCTGTGGTTTTGGTTTGTTTCTCCCCCTGCCCAAGAACCTGCAACGGTCCCTGGATCCTGCTGAATGGAATAGTTGCGCTCACCGACGCAGCAGCAGAAACATCCCTTGCTTCCTAAAGTGCTGGGATTACAGGCGTGAGCCACCGTGCCCGGACTTCATTCCTTGTTATGGCGGAATAATAATTATAAAGATATACCACACTTTGTTTAGCCTTTCATCAGCTGATGGACATTTGGGTTTTTTCCACATTTTGGCTATTAAGAATAATACTGCTCATAGCATTTATGCACAAGTCTTTGTGTGGATGTTTTCATTTCTATTCAGTATATATGTAGATATGGAACTGCTAGGTCATATAGAAACTCGATGTTTTAACTTTTTGAGGAACTACCAAACTGTTTTCCAGAGCAGCTGCATGATTTTTACATTCCCATCAACAATGTATTAAGGATTCCTATTTTGCCACACAACCCTTGTTATCTGTTACTGATTATAGCCAGCCTAGTTTTTGTGAACTAGTATCTCGTGATTTTCATTTTCATTTCTTAATGACTAATGATGGTGAGTATTGTTACAGGTACTTATTGGCTATTTGCATATTTTCTCTGGAGAAATAATAAAACCATTTTAAAACTCTCTCCTGTCATTTATTAATCCAAACATTAGTAGGGATAGGTATAAAAGTTTTAAAGCCTTTTTGTGTATGTAATTACAGTTTATTATTCTCATGTTAACAGCATCTGCTTCTCTATGGCCACTCTTGAGTAGTTAATGTATAGAAATTACTTATGCTAACCACGTTAGGAGTGCTGCCTGTCCAGTTTTGCACTTCCTAGACACCCAAAGATCCAAGGGTTGAGACTGCTTAGTTCAAATATTTGTAACAATTCCTACATGGGCTTCCTAAGATGTGAGATTATTAACAAAAGAAAGAATATTAGGTGAAAATAAACACTATATTTAATTTTCTATATTGTTGAGAAGTAAAATTACATGTAACAACTAATACCATACAGTGAGAATATTGATATTACTAATTTTAGTTATTTTTTGTTCATGCACTCACTATTTTTCCATGTTACTGGAGGAATTTTAAAATTTGAAGTTTTGTAATTATAAAATTAATACACATTTATTATAGAAAATTTGAAAACTATAAAAATACAAAAGAGAAAAGAAAAACAAATAGTCTGTTATTTTTCAGAGATAACTACTATTAATATATTGGTATGAGTCCTGGTTGTTACATACATGCATTTTAAAATTATTTACTTAATTTTTTAAGCTAGTTTATATATACACATAAAACAAAATTAAAAGGTTCAAAAGGGCATACAGTGAAACGTAAGTCTCTTTTTACATTGTGTCCCAGTTTTCCTACCCAAAGCAACCTCTATTGCCAGTATCTTGTATAATCTTTGAGATATAGGCACATATACACACATGTGCGTTTTAAATTCCTCTTTTTTAAGGCATTGATGAGAATTATAAATTGTGGATGGTTAAAGACAGTGGTCCCTCTTCTGGTCCAATATGGTTTCCTTGTCTTTTTGTGTTGTTCCCCTTTCATTGAGCCTAGTCCCCCTAATATTTTGCAGATTTTTCAGTCCCTTTATATGTTTCCCAAATTCTAGTATTGAATTTTTTACAAATGGTATTCCTAAGAAAGTTTACTTCTACAATATGTTCTATAACATTTCTAGTAGTTATACAAAAAAAAAGTTCATGGTTCCCTTAAACTCGCTCGGAGTACCTAATTTTGTACCTCCATATGGAAAGGAGAGGTATTTTAATTCTGTTTCTTTTGGCAGAAATAATAATTTTTTGATTGAGCTTTAGCTAATAATGGATTTTCATGTTTATTTCTGATTTCAGCTAAATTATAAACTCTGTAATAGTAATGACCAGGCCTTATACCTTGTATTTCTTATAGCACGCAATGCCAGCACTGCTCTGAAGACAGCAGATATTTAATAGTGTTTGTGGATTGAGTGATTAAATGGAAAAAGCAGATCTTCAAACCTTGCCAAGAAAGCAAAAAATGAAGCAAAAACAAAATAAAAATTTCAGTACAGAAAACAAATACCAAGCGAAATCACAAACTGTTTGTTCCCTTTGCAAGTGTCTGGATAACAAATAGGTGAGAAATTTTTAAAGTTCTATTTTATTTATAATTGACGCATAATTGTACATATTTATGGAGTACAGTGTGATGCTTTAATACATGTATACATCGTACCATGATTAAATCAGGGTAATTAGCACATCCAACAATTTAAACATTTATCATTTCTTTGTGGTGATAACATTCAAAATTCTTTCTAGCAATCTTGAAATATACAATGCATCATTATTAGCTATAGTCACACTACTGTGTGATAGAACACCAGAACTTATTCTTCCTGTCTATCTGCAACTTTGTACCTGTCGGTGAACATCTCTCCATTCTCCTCTCCCCTCAAGGAAATTTTTACTTGGAAAAATTATTGAAAAAAGCAATACGAACTTTAAAAAAATCCGTATTCTTTTTTTTTTTTAATTGTAGTGCTTAAAAAAATTCTACGCAAGTTTACGTGAGAGGAAATGAAGAAAGCAGTGATGGGGCTTGGCGAATACACAATTGCCGTTAGACTTAAGCAAATAACTTGGGATCTGTGCCAAATTATTTAGTTTCAGCTACTATATCCAATTCTCAGGCTGTCCAGAATGTGGCAAAGCCCAGTTGAGCAGGACTGCAAGGCACTTTGGATTATCACAGGGGGAAGAATTAAGATTTAAGAAATGGGACATTTGGCCGGGCGCAGTGGCTCAGGCCTGTAATCCCAGCACTTTGGGAGGCTGAAGCGGGTGGATCACGAGGTCAGGAGATCGAGACCATCCTGGCTAGCACGGTGAAACCCCGTCTGTACTACAAATACAAAAAATTAGCCGGGCCTGGTGGCGGTCATCTGCAGTCCCAGCTACTCGGGAGGCTGAGGCAGGAGAATGGCGTGAACCCGGGAGGCGGAACTTGCAGTGAGTCCAATTCGCGCCACTGCACTCCAGCCTGGGTAACAGAGCGAGACTCCGTCTCAAAAAAAAAAAAAAAAAAAAAAGGGACATTTGGCCCTGCTGTTTATTTGGTTGGTTAGATTAAAATAGGCGTTATTGCCAGCTTGAAGGAAAAAAACAAAACAAACAAACAAAAAACCAGTATTGCTCCAGCAGATGCCCCAAGAGGGCTTCAGAAGAACTTGTCTTGGCCTTGGTTTGGAATTGCTCCTCTCCTACCCAGCTTTCTGTTATGTGGGTAGTGAAAGAGTGGCAGGCTAGGGAACTCTCTGAAAACTATTTCCAGATATTTCAAAATTTCAACTTTTAAACTAATCCTTGGTATGCAAACAGTTGAACAAATAACAGTACACAATTAGGTTCAAAGTAATAGGTAGTGATAAGAAGCTCTCATTTCAAATAGTTTTCAACCTTTGACTGACCTTTCCGTGACATTAAGCTCATTTTCCTAACAACAAATTATGACAGAGTATTTGGAGTACTTCAGGCCCCCATAAACCAGGTGCAGTCTAAAGAAAACAGCTCAATATCTGGGCCTTATTACCTTTTCCATCATCCAGGCATCACCGGATTTCCCCATCTGTGATCAGGCCTGATCACTCATGCAGTTTTTATGGTAGCAAATGAAAATAGTTTGGAAATTTCCATCTCAAAGGCCAATACTTCATGGAAAACCTTAAGAAGCGTTTTATTCATTACTAGAAACCTAGTTTATTAACATTCTTAGTATGTATTTTTGCAGTTCTTTTATATTTCATTGAATAGTTATCTTTTAAAAAACCATTTTTCTGCTAGGAAGGGAACAGGTAAAAGGGAGAGAAATTTAATGCACTGAATGTATAAAATAGCATGGGTCAAAAACTATAATATTTCATTATTACCTTGTACATGGACTACATTCTAGAAGATAAATTAAGCAAAAATGATGAAATGAAAACATATGCCTATCAGAGATCACCACTGTCAACACCTTACTATGTCTCCTAGAAAATATATGTAAACATTAAAAATATATAAACATAAGAATGCATAACAAATATAAATAAATATATATATTTAACAAAAGTCAAGATGTTTTTTAACCCTATCCAATAATGTTTTAACTCTTTGAGAGTTAGACTAAATTGACATTTACAAATAGAGAAATCAAGGCACGATGCAATTTCTAGAGGACAGGAGTCAAGTATAGACTACAAGTGACACAATTTTTTTCTTGGTTATGTCACCTGTTCAATGTACAGATCTTCTGCATAATCACTATTGGATGGCTAGAGTTGCTGACCTTCAAAAAATGATAGAGAATATATGGGACATATTCAGGCAGAAATGTTTTCAAATTCACATAAGCCAGAAGAACTCTTAGTGAGAGGGCAAACAGGCGTTGCTGTCAGAAGAAGTTATCAAGCCTGTAGAGCCTTACACTCCAGAGAATACCCAGAACCTGTTATTTTCCCCTGAGGAGGACCTCTGGTGATATGCAGATATATTAAAGATGCTCTGTGGTTGGGCATGAATGCAAATGGAGGTTGCCAGGCTGCAGGACTCATCTCTACATGCTTCCTTTCCAGGGTCCTCTAAAGGCCACAGAGCCGTATTAATATCAACCTGAGATGTCTTTCTGGAAAGACTTTCTAAGATGTTTCCAGCCTAAGAACTCTCTTATGGATTGACTGGCTCTGGGACCAAGCATGTTTTGGGGTTGGTGGGAAAATGAAGCACTGTTCCAGGCTGGTCTGTCCTGAGCAGATCAGAAGACTCACTGGTGGTAAGGCTCTTCAGAGCCAGAGGACTCTATTGCAGTCACAACTGTATGGTGAACACATGTGATAGTAATAACTGAAGCATACCCTGAGAATGACCGTGTATGGCAGATGCACCTGAATGCATGTTCTGAGCTGGGGAATCTGGGTGTGGCCAAAGTGAAGATTTGTTCCTTTTCTGTGAGGAACATCTGAGCTCCCAGCCCATCTTGTGGAACACAGGCCATACGGAGGTCCAGGTCCCAAGTTTTGAGCTGAATGAAGGTTGCCAGCTGGAGGTCGTTAGGAAAAGAATGCTAAGTGAAAATGCTAAACCACCTGCCTTTTGTAAGCAGTTGCAGTTCTCCTGCCTAGCCTGCTGCTACTAGATTCCTTCCCCTGTATGTAAGCCCCCAATAAAATGTATGTCTCGTTTGCTGGCTCTGGTTCTCTTCTTCAGCTTCTTGAGCCTGGTGCCATTCCCAGTGGCATCCACAGGGGTTCAGGCACAACAACAGCTTGTCAACTTCTAGGGTATTTTGGAAATATCCTGGGAGTCTTCCTGGGATTCACAGATGGACCAAGGACCCCACACCCAGGAGGAACTTCTAGGAGTATATGTCAAACTCAAAGACTCTTTTGGGTGTGAGCTAATTGGTTTGTATTAGGACATTTAGATTCCTATCCTTTCTCCCTCACCTAAGAAATTATTAAACATAAATAAAATGCTCACATGAAATTCTCCCTTGTTAATTTCTCATGCAATAATTTATTTATATCACTATAAACTTGTAGATATTTATTTTAATATGTTTGATATGTCATAGAGCGATAATTTTTCAAAGGAGTATTAATGTGAATTTTATACTGCTGCTTTGAAATGTATAAAAAGAAGAGGGTGAAAAAGTCATTAGAAACTTATGTTGTCTCATAGCGCAAAGGAATATTTATATAGAAAAGGAGATAATATGTGGTTACTGACATGACTAACGGTTAAAGTGGAATTTGTTAAAATTATTATTATTTTTTTTGAGGCGGAGTCTTGCTCTGTCACCCAGGCTGGAGTGCCGTGGCGCGATCCCAGCTCACTGCAACCTCTGCTTCCCGGGTTCGAGCAATTTTCCTGCCTCAGCCTCCTGAGTAGCTGATATTACAGGCGTGCGCTGCCACGCCCAGATAATTTTTGTATTTTTTTTTTAGTAGATATGGGTTTTCACCATGTTGGCCAAGCTGGTCTCGAACCCCCTACCTCAAGTGATCCACCTACCTCGGCCTCCCAAAGTGCTGGGATTACATGCGTGAGCCACTGCGCCCGGCCTAAAATTATTTTTAAAAAAAGTATTTAGTAATGCAGATAATTAAATTTTTGCAACAGAAAAGTTGCAAAGATTATAGAGAGGGTTCCTGTCTATCCAGCATACAGTTTTTCCTGTTGTTAATATCTTATGTCTACGTTCATACTTACAGTACATTTGCTACAACTAAACCAGTATTGATACATTATTATTAATCGAAGTCCATATTTCTTTTAGAATGCGTTACCTTTTCCTAATGTTCTTTTTCTGTTTCAGGATCCTATCTAGGATACCACATTACATTTAATCATAATGTTTCCTTAGTCTTCGCTGGTTTGTGACAGTTTTTCAGACTTGTTTTTGATGACCTTGAAGGTTTTGAGGAGTACTGCTCAGATATTTCATAAAATGATCCTCAATTTGGGTTTGTCAGATGTTTTCCTCATGATTAGCCTGGGGTTATGGTTTCTGGAGTGGAAGACCACAGATATAAAGTGGCATTTCCATAACAACCTATCAAAGGTATATGCTATCAACATGACTTATCACTGATGATACCAAGTTTGATGACCTGGCTGAAGTAATATTTGTCAGGCTTCTCCCCTATCAAGCTACTCTCCCTACTGCCTTCAATTCTGTATTCTTTGGAAAGTAATTCTCATGGATTAGGGAGTTGTGCTCCACCTACCTGAAAGGGCAGTATCTATATAAATTCTTTGGAAATTCTGTGTAAGATATTTGTCTATTCTCCTTTATTAATTTGTTTATGTAATCATCTATTTCTATCAGGATAAACTTGTGAATATTTATACTTTGGGTTACAATTCAATACTACTTTATATATTTTGTTGCTTAAATTGTTCCAGCTTTGGTTTTTTGGAAACTCTTTCAATTGTTGTGCTCTCTCTCTCTCTCTCTTGTGTGTGTGTGTGTGTGTGTGTGTGTGTGTGTGTGTGTGTATGAGAGAGAGAGAGAGACAGAGAGAAAGAGAGAGAATGTTTTAGCTTTCTTTACTTTCCAGGCTCATCTTTCACTTTCCCTGTCTAGCCCTAGAATCAGCCATTTCTCCAGGGAACCTTGATTACCCTTATTACAGAATGGTATTAGAAACAAAGAGATGGGTGCTGATATGCTAGTGGGGGTGGTGGTGTTTCTAGACCATGTCAATTTGGAAAGATATGAGCAGTATACTAACCCCTTGTATACATACATAGCTATAATTATTTCTGTATTTATTCATCTGTATCTATATTAAGCCAAAGATGAATTCATTCTGATGTCCCATGCTCTATATTTAAAGAAAAAAGTTAGCAGCAGATGGTGTGTCATAGAGTTGCATTTCAGTTTGAGAATTTACCAGTGCCACTTTTCCTGGTATGAACATTTCTGAAAGTGATTGATGAAGAGAAATGACTCATCTGGTAAAGAAAATAGTCCCACTAGCAGTTTCTTACTTGATTTGGCAGAAATGAAGGAGCACCACCTAGCATCAGTAAATGGTGCCAGTAAAGCACCTGTAATTTAAAACAAATTTTATAGCCCAGGTCTTTTTGTTTCTAAGTCTTTCTGCCATTGCAAAAATAATGTCTTCTTTGTTAGCCTAGGGCTTTTGCAAGCCAAGATAGTGGAAGAAAATCTGTCTCATCGACAGTCAGTGATATGGTAAGGGAAGAAAAAGCACAGTATATTTCCATTACAGAGAGGTGATTGTGAAGATCAGGTATTCAGGAAAGGAGTTCTCAAGAAATGTTTCTCACAATTTGAAAAATGGAGAAATGCCTGGAGAACTGTATGGGCCAACATCAGCTCTATCTGAGCATCTTATAAAAATATCTGAAAGCATAAATTGACAGTTAAGGAAAATGTGGGAGAACCAGTTTTGAAGTGTACTAAGAGATGGCACTAAAGATATGCCATAACTTTTCATAAACATCTGATTTGAGAAACTTCCACTTTTCAGGTAGGGAGAAATACTTGAAAGAAAAGGAAATATGAAAGGGAAGTCCAGGAGGGAACAATGTAACTGAAGGTTTGCTAAAATAGAAAAAGACTAATTAAAATCATAATATGCATGTAGCATGTTTTCAGACTAAAAAGATAAGACTTTATGAACATATTACTAATACATATTAATCCATATTAATCACCATTCCTGGCTTATATTATCTACTTTTATATAGAATGTATCCATATGTTTTGATGTGGGCTGGATATTTTATGTGAGAGTACTAATATAGGGTATACATTTTGAATACAGGTTATTCTGGGTATAATTATATTTATCTTGGTCAAACATTTTTAAGTGTGTATTGACAATATAGCACAGACAAACAAATTAATTTGAAATTTCATTTTAAAACCAAAGCAAGATACATATTATTCTATAAACATACCCTAATAGTATGTTTATGAAATGCAGGAAAATTTAGAGCTAAGTATTTTCAGAATTGATATCATTTTGAAAATGTTTAAACCCACAGCAGAATCGTGTGTGAATTGTTGAGTGTGGTTCTGCACCTAAGTTTTCCAAGGCAAAGAGGCAACAGAAAGTGCATGGTATTGTGGCAAATAGAGGCTTCAAGAAAACAATGCATCTTGTTAAAGAAGGTATGGTTGCACAAAGCACATTTTATTTCTGTTCATTAACTTGTTGGCTTATTCCTTATTTTTATGATCATTTTAACTCATGAAGCACTCATAGTAGAAATAAAAGATTTCACAAAGATTTCAATCATGAGTGATTGGGAACAGAAGAGCAGTGTAATAGAATTCCCTTGTAGTTATCTTTTGTCAACAATAAAATAACTAAACCTTTTGTGGCTCTCACTATATGAGCTTTCCATGGGTAGTGAAGAAGGTCATCTCATTTATCATGTGTGAATGTTTAATGATAATGACCAGCATTTATTGAAAGCTTGCTATATGCAAGGCACTATGATAAGATACCTAGTAACTTATGCCGTCTTAAAAATTACCTCGTTTTACAGATGAGGGACTTGAAGTTTAAAAAGATGTATTACTTGTACAAGTTCTACACCGAGTAAATGGCAGAACCAAGTCTTAAATTCAGGTCTGACATAAAGAGTATCTTTTACCTGGAAGTTTGTTTGGACATTATTCTAAAATTTTCCTATAACCGAAGAGGAAAAGCATGCCTCAACACTACTGTAGTTTTTGTGCATAACTGGGTTGGGGTCATTGTCTTCCTTGATCATGCCCACTCCTAAGACTCTATTAGGGAGCCCCCAAAATATTCTGGACTAAGACTGGAGAAAGCTCTTGAGTGCTTACTGATTCACCAAATCTGGCTTATGAGACCCTATGTTCTAAAAATAAATAGAAAAGTCAGGATTAGAGCCAAATCTCCAAGTCATACATCAGTTCCAATAGTGCTTTGGGGTGGGGGCACAGCATATGATTTCTTTGAAGTGAGTTCTTTTCTGCCATTGAAAATCTTATTTCGAACATGCTCCAAAAGTTTGAGGATTAAAACTGCTTTGGGAACTTGGGGAGGGGGCCAGAAAGCACAAATCAGAGTTCTGGAAAGACTTACCTACGTCTGTGCTTGAACCTATCCAGCTCCCATGACATGCCCTAATGATGGTTTGTCCTGATATCTTGTGAGGCCCCATCTGGCAGACTTATTAGCTTAAATACTGGTCTATGCAGTTTATATGTACAAAATGTCATTGACTTCCTACTCCTAGCTTTAAGTAATGGGCTTTCTTGTCAACCATTTTTTTTTTTTTACCTATTCCTAACAGAGGCAAGCCATTTTTTGCTTCTGGACATACTGTTAAGTCAACTAAAGCTTTATCATAACTGAATACCGAATCTTATGGTAGAAGCTAGGCAACACAACAGACTAAAGGTGTAGGTATTCCCCCAGTTTTTTTTTTTTTTTTTTTTTTTTTTTTTTTTTGAGACGGAATCTTGCTTTGTCGCCCAGGCTGGAGTGCAGTGGCACGATCTCGGCTCACTGCAGACTCCGCCTCCCGGGGCCGTTCTCCTGCCTCAGCCTCCCGAGTGGCTGGGACTACAGAGGCCCGCCACCAGGCCCGGCTAATTTTTTGTATTTTTAGTAGAGACGGGGTTTCACCGTGTTAGCCAGGATGGTCTCGATCTCCTGACCTCGTGATCCACCCGCCTCGGCCTCCCAAAGTGCTGGGATTACAGGCCTGAGCCACTGCGCCCGGCCAGTATTCCCCCAATTTTTAAGCCATCTTAGTCAATGAGTTTATGATTTAAATCAGTGATTTTTGTATGGTACTCTGAAGACTAAGGTTTTTGAAAGTGACTGAGGTACCATGGAGGACAAGATAAGAAAAGAATGGACTCTATAGTAGATGCTACATTTTGCTGCTCAAATCCTCCCTTCAGAACCAAAGGATTTATTTTGATAGCTGCTGGGAGTGCTGCTTGATAATCCCCAGCTGTCAGCTCTCCCTGGGAATTGCTTTTTGCAGGAGAGAGCTGTCTTCTCTCACCATGAAACAACTCTAAAGGACCATCCTAGCTTCAAAGCACCCCATAGAGTTGTGGCCCTGTTGTGACCGTATTGCTTAACCCCCTCTGTCCAGTCTTGCATCTTTTACTTCCCTTACAGGTGCCAATCCCAGAGCACTCTCTAGTATACTTTCTGCATGCTAATTTCTTCCAAGTCTGCTTCCCAGGGAACTTTGACCTACAGTAAAATCAATCATAGCAGCTCTTTTATCATATAAATGATATTTAGGTATCCTATATGTGATATTTGTGTAAGATTTTATGTAAACTAAATTTAAAAATCTTTAAAAACCACTGGTCTATTAAACAAATGCTTCACCTCATATGAAAAATCATCATTAGAGTTTTGTGAAAGATGAATTTATTTAGGTTCATCTCTCCAAAGTAATACCCAGGGAGGGTGTTTTCCTTTTGTACCTGTTTCTTCTTAACCTTTATTTATATGTTCTGTTTACATACATAACTCTTGTGCCCTTTAAAACAGAAAATATATTAAAAAATTATGACTTAGGGTCCTTCAGAAGTAGCCTGCTGTGGCTACCTGGTGCTGTGGCCTCATGGAAAAACTAATCATGACTATTTTTAGAATTTTATACCTAAAAAATGAGGAAAACATTAACAGAAACAATCATGACAGACCAGAGAAGGGCATTCAGTAGATGGTACATATTTTCAAATATGGATAATGTCATTACATATCCTGCTACTCCCAGAAAAATCTTTTAAAGTGTTTGTCTTAACTGTGGTATTAATAAGTACATTGTATATAAAATTTTCTTACGTTAAACACCTCACATTAAAAATAGACTATAAACTAGCCTCTTATAATACTGGGGGAAACCAATAGCAAAAAAGGTCCATGGTTTTATGATACAAGTTACTGTATTCTATGGTGTTTTGGAAAACTGGCAAAGAAATTTCCAACTAAGTCAATTAAAGATTAAATGATAAACTTTAATTGCTGAAAAGATAACTCAAATTTAATAAACATAAATATGTTTTGGATCGCTAGCAGGCTTCTGCAGAGTTTATTCGATAATTCTAACTTACACAATAGTCAAGCCAACAGAAAGAAGAAAAATACAGCTTGGAGGCAGAGGTTGGTCTTGATCTTGGTTTTCCCACTTCTCCTTTCCTGGGAAGCCATACATGTCATGTCTTGGCATTCTGTTCCAGCAATAGGGATAAGGAAAAAAGATAACCTCTGTTCACCCTCAGATGTTTGTTGTTGCTTTGGTCATTCCAAACTGGATGTGGCAGCCATTAACTGGTAAGTAGAACATGTGATAGGGAGTTGGAAGAGACACTCAGAAGGCAGAGTTGTAAAAGAGTATTATTTATTAGAAAGAATAACAAAGTATATACATGTCATTTAACACATATGTCTGGGCTACTAGGACACTGTAATAGTGGATTTCTTCTGGAGCCTAAAACACCACGCTTCGATACTTGAGAATTTCTGCTCACAAAAAAGTTTAAGAGTTTTTTGTAAAAATTAAAATGTAGGCCGGGTGCAGTGGCTCACGCCTGTAATCCCAGCACTTTGGGAGGCCGAGGCGGGCGGATCATGAGGTCAAGCGATTGAGACCATCCTGGCCAACATGGTGAAACCCCGTCTCTACTAAAAATACAAAAATACAGGCATGCCAGCATGTGCCTGTAATCCCAACCACTCCTGCTGAGACAGGAGAATTGCTTAAACCTGGGAGGCGGAGGTTGCAGTGAGTCGAGATCGTGCCACTGCCCTCCAGCCTGGCAACGGAGCGAGACTTCGCCTCAAAAAACAAAACAAAAAATTAAAAATAAAAATCCTCAATAAAATACTGGCGAACCAAATCCAGCAGCACATCAAAAAGCTTATCCACCATGTTCAAGTGGGCTTCATCCCTGGGATGCAAGGCTGGTTCAATATACGCAAATCAATCAATGTAATCCAGCATATAAACAGAACCAAAGACAAAAACCACATGATTATCTCAATAGATGCAGAAAAGGCCTTTGACAAAATTCAACAACGCTTCATGCTAAAAACTCTCAATAAATCAGGTATTGATGGGACGTATCTCAAAATAATAAGAGCTATCTATGACAAACCCACAGCCAATATCATACTGAATGGGCAAAAACTGGAAGCATTCCCTTTGAAAACTGGCACAAGACAGGGATGCCCTCTCTCACCACTCCTATTCAACATAGTGTTGGAAGTTCTGGCCAGGGCAATTAGGCAGGAGAAGGAAGTAAAAAGTATTCAATTAGGAAAAGAGGAAGTCAAATTGTCCCTGTTTGCAGATGACATGATTGTATATCTAGAAAACCCCATTGTCTCAGCCCAAAATCTCCTTAAGCTGATAAGCAACTTCAGCAAAGTCTCAGGATACAAAATCAATGTACAAAAATCACAAGCATTCTTATACACCAATAACAGACAAACAGAGAGCCAAATCATGAGTGAACTCCCATTCACAATTGCTTCAAAGAGAACAAAATACCTAGGAATCCAACTTACAAGGGACGTGAAGGACCTCTTCAAGGAGAACTACAAACCACTGCTCAATGAAATAAAAGAGGATACAAACAAATGGAAGAACATTCCATGCTCATGGATAGGAAGAATCAATATCGTGAAAATGGCCATACTGCCCAAGGTAATTTATAGATTCAATGCCATCCCCATCAAGCTACCAATGACTTTCTTCACAGAATTGGAAAAAACTACTTTAAAGTTCATATGGAACCAAAAAAGAGCCCGCATCGCCAAGTCAATCCTAAGCCAAAAGAACAAAGCTGGAGGCATCATGCTACCTGACTTCAAACTATACTACAAGGCTACAATAACCAAAACAGCATGGTACTGGTACCAAAACAGAGATATAGATCAATGGAACACAAAAGAGCCCTCAGAAATAACGCCGCATGTCTACAGCTATCTGATCTTTGACAAACCTGAGAAAAACAAGCAATGGGGAAAGGATTCCCTATTGAATAAATGGTGCTGGGAAAACTGGCTAGCCATATGTAGAAAGCTGAAACTGGATCCCTTCCTTACACCTTATACAAAAATTATTTCAAGATGGATTAAAGACTTACATGTCAGACCTAAAACCATAAAAACCCTAGAAGAAAACCTAGGCATTACCATTCAGGACATAGGCATGGGCAAGGACTTCATGTCTAAAACACCAAAAGCAATGGCAACAAAAGACAAAATTGACAAATGGGATCTAATTCAACTCAAGAGCTTCTGCACAGCAAAAGAAACTACCATCAGAGTGAACAGGCAACTTACAAAATGGCAGAAAATTTTCGCAACCTACTCATCTGACAAAGGGCTAATATCCAGAATCTACAATGAACTCAAACAAATTTACAAGAAAAAAACAAACAACCCCATCAAAAAGTGGGCAAAGGACATGAACAGACACTTCTCAAAAGAAGACATTTATGCAGCCAAAAAACACATGAAAAAATGCTCACCATCACTGACCATCAGAGAAATGCAAATCAAAACCACAATGAGATACCATCTCACACCAGTTAGAATGGCGATCATTAAAAAGTCAGGAAACAACAGGTGCTGGAGAGGATGTGGAGAAATAGGAACACTTTTACACTGTTGGTGGGACTGTAAACTAGTTCAACCATTGTGGAAGTCAGTGTGGCGATTCCTCAGGAATCTAGAACTAGAAATACCATTTGACCCAGCCATCCCATTACTGGGTATATACTCAAAGGACTATAAATCATGCTGCTATAAAGACACATGCACACGTATGTTTATTGCAGCACTATTCACAATAGCAAAGACTTGGAACCAACCCAAATGTCCAACAATGATAGACTGGATTAAGAAAATGTGGCACATATACACCATGGAATACTATGCAGCCATAAAAAAGGATGAGTTCATGTCCTTTGTAGGGACATGGATGAAATTGGAAATCATCATTCTCAGTAAACTATCGCAAGGACAAAAAACCAAACACCACATGTTCTCACTCATAGATGGGAATTGAACAATGAGAACACATGGACACAGGAAGGGGAACATCACACTCTGGGGACTGTTGTGGGGTGGGGGGAGGGGAGAGGGATAGCATTAGGAGATATACCTAATGCTAAATGACGAGTTAATGGGTGCAGCACACTAGCATGGCACATGTATACATATGTAACTAACCTGCACATTGTACACATGTACCCTAAAACTTAAAGTATAATAACAATAAAATAAAAGAAAAAAATTAAAAAATTAAAATGTAGTAAATAAAGGTCTATTAAAAAATACTGAACAAAAGTGAAGTTCTGGTAGTATCAGTGACCGTAGGTATTGTAAAATATCCTTTTTGGAAAAATAGTGAATCAACCAAACATTGAAAATACATTTTCTCCTAAAATACACAAGTGTATAGTGGAAATACTGTGTATGTATCCAAATAACAGCAGTATTCTTTTATCAGAAGTGAATAGCTTTATAAATTATAATGTATACATCAACCCATGCTCTTTGTGCACAGTAAGTATACTTTTGGAGTCAAAGAACTTCAAAGTACAACCAGCTCTAGATCTTTTTTGTTAGTGGTCTATATGAAGACCATGAGTAGATGAAGTGGGTTTACTTGATAAATATTTTGATGGCCTATTATGTCCCAGGCATTGTGTTAGGCACTAGCAATGCAATTATAGAATGACAGACATGTTCTCTTCCCTTGTGAAGCCTATTGATTAATTTAATAATTAATCAATTATTAAAGCAGCAGCTGACAAATAAGCTATTGCAATATAGCATGAGAAGTGCTGACCTGGAAAGCACAGGGTTGCACTTGAGAAACCAAGCCATAATGAAGAACCAAAACTGGATTTAAAGGAGTCAGAGAAGTTTCCCTGGAGGACATGATGTCTCACTTGAGGTCTTAAGGCTGTGTAGATATTGGTCAGTCTGGTAGGGAGCAGTTAAAGAAGTAAAGCATGTACAAAGTTCTGGAAGTAAGAAAGCATGTCTCTTTAAAGGAACTGGGGAAAAGTTCAGTATAGTTGAATCCTGGAAATGGAGAGTGGCAGTATAGAGAGATGAGGTACGCAAGAACCAGTACATGAAGAGCCTTGTAAAACATATTAAGGCATAAGGACTTTATCATAACGAAAACAGAAAGCCATTGAAAAGATTTAGGTCAAGGATATCAGAATCATGTTAGAATAATTCTTTAGAAAGATCTGTAACTACAAAGTGGAAAATGAAGGTAGGGAGGCTAATCAGGATTCTCAGCATGCCAGGTGAGATGATGGCAGAATGGACTCAGTGATGCTAGGAATGAATAGAAGTAGAAAGATTATATTTTTAGAAGTAAAATAGATTTGGTACTTGGTTACATGTAGGTAGTGTAGGAAACACAGAGTCAAGGATGTCATCTACAACTCCTGCTTGAGCAGTTAGGGAAAGGATTGTGTCATTTGCTGAGATGGGAAACAGGAATTAAAGATTTGGGAGAAGGATGCTGCGCTCGTTTGGACACGCTGAGTCTTGGGTACTATGGGATAACCAAATGCAAATAAATATTGGGCAAGCAATTGAATGTAGGAGTCTTAAATTCTGTACAGTGCTCTGATCTAGAGATGCAAATTGGGGAGCTGTTAGGATGCAAATGGTAACTCTGCAGCCACGGGAGTGGTGACATTGCCGAGCTGCTGTGTGGAGTGATGTGAGAGCAGGCTGTTGGACTGAACTCCAACGCATACCAAAAATTAAATGTTGGGCAGAGAGACAAGAGTTGCAAATGACCTCTAATCCACCAATACTCCTGAAGTCATAGTTTGTAAATAAGTTTATATTCTTCTCGGCCAACTCTATTACCAGGCATGAAAGTCTTTTTTTTTTTTTTTTGAGATGGAGTTTCGCTCTTGTTGCCCAGATTGAGTGCAAGGGCATAATCTTGGCTCACTGCAAACTTTGGCTTCCGGGTTCAAGCGACTCTCCTGCCTCAGCCTCCTGAGTAGCTGAGATTACAGGCATGCACCACCACGCCTAGCTAATTTTGTATTTTTTTTTTTTTTTTTTTAGTAGAGACGGGGTTTCTCCATGTTGGTCAGGCTAGTCTCGAACTCCCGACCTCAGGTGATCCGCCCGCTTCGGCCTCCCAAAGTGCTGTCCCAGCACTTTTATAGGGATGAGCCACCGCGCCTGGCCGTCTTACATTTTTTTTTCTCCCTTCAATTGTAAAGCCATAAATTGGTAATGAAAGCATTTTAAACACCTGAAATTAATAAACATTTGTAAAATAACTATTAAAACAATCTATGAACCACACGAATAGCCTTTGATTGCTCCAAACCTGGCTTTGACTATTTTGAGCTTTCTATATTACAACAGACCTTTACTTATACTGTAATTTTTCCTCTATCATTCTGTAAGTTTTGCCTTTCCTGATTGCCTGGATAGTCTTTAGTGGATTTACAGCTTGGTGACAGCCTAGAGAGATTTTCTGTGGTCAAAACATGATTAAATAGAGATTTGTTGGTCAGAAGATAACCATGAACCATAATACCCACAAGGGAAAGAGCCAGATTCAGTTTTGGGTGGGTCGATGGGGATTTACCTCATATGCTTTCTTTTATTTCACAAAATGTGTTCTGTTCTTTACTTTCGTATCTGTAGGAATAGAAATGGGAATGTGGCCTCTAGGGTGTGCTGATGTATGTTTAACAGCTGGCTTTCAAGGAAAAAAAAAAAAAAAAGATCTGATTTGCAGTGTTTACTAATTTTTTTGGTGTAAATACTCTCACCATGGCCAATTTCAAACTACCAACTTGACAGCACTGAAGGCAGAAAAAATGTTCACAGTTGGCTCTTGTAAGCCAGTGCAAGCTTGCTCCAGCACACTACTGGACTAGGAATGATCTGCCTGTAGCCAGGAATGGGAAAATACCTTGCCCATGACAGCTTAAGGTATGAGAGGACAGAATTCTACAAAATACAGAGTTTTTACTTTAAGAAAAATGGATTTACTCATCTACAGTCTGTTTATTTGTAGACTTCGACCTTTTTCTTTTGAATTACTGGCCATATGAGTATGCATTATGTAATAACCTTAGCATTGTAACTTCTATTTCTTTATTCATAAGCAATAACAGTTTCTAAAACTGGCTTGTATTTGAGATTGAAATGATGAGAATCATTTTCAATCCAATTTTTTTTTTTTTTTTTTTTTTTTTGAGATGGGGTCTCACTCTGTTACCCAGAGTGCTGGAGTGCTCACTGCAAGCTCTGCCTCCCGGGTTCACGCCATTCTCCTGCCTCAGCCTCCTGAGTAGCTGGGACGACAGGCACCTGCCACCAGGCCCGGCTAATTTTTTGTACCTTTAGTAGGGATGGGGTTTCACCATGTTAGCCAGGAAGGTCTCGATCTCCTGACCTTGTGATCCACCCGCCTCAGCCTCCCAAAGTGCTAGGATTACAGGCGTGAGCCACCGCGCCCGGCCCAATCTAATTCTTTATACCATGAACCAAATAAATTACCAGTTTTATTTCAGGATATTAGTATAATCTGCATTCTAATATATTTCATAAAAGAAAATATTTTATTTCCATTACATAGGCAAAGTTTGTTTTTTCCCATATCAAAGCCAAATATTATTTGATGTACTGACCAATAATATATGTAGAAAGAATAACAGCAAAATATCTTATTTCTTTATATAATTTAATATATACCCTATTAACACCAGTGTGCAGATGTACAGTACTGACAGTATACTAAATAGTTAGTATTAAAAATTACTTTAAAAATGTTTTCAACATTAGGTACTGGTGGAACCAGAGCTGTTATTTTGTACATCATATCATTTATGTGTTGCAAAGGAAAAGTAAAATTTCCAGTAGCATTAGAAAAAAATGTACTGATATTTTATGTAGATATACAAAATCTCATGACATCTATTGAAAACCTCACAATTCTATTGTGCACTAATAAAAACACCTTTTCAAACAACTTGCACTTATACTGAGTTCATAAAGGCTACTATAAAAATATTGCAAAAGCAATAAAAACACAATATCGTACAAAGTCTTTTGTTTTTTAAAAGTCAAATTTTAAAAGGACTGTATTTATATAAATGTGCAATACTTTTTAGTGACCCTGACTAACATTTTTGTTTAGGATTATCTGATTTTAGAAAACTAAGTTAAATGTTTTTCCTTATTTTCTGTTTCAGAATGAGAAGACACTAAGAATGCACAGAGGTTTAGAAATAAGATTGGGTAAAAGCTTTATGAAGTGGGATAGCAAGCACTCTACATGTTTTACTTGTTGCCCTACCAAAGATACAAATGCCTGACTGCCCCAATTTCTGAAATTTAACTTGAATTCTAAATCTTAACTACCCCCCTTTCCTTTATAATCTTTGAGATGAAAGTGTAAAGATTTTAGGTTCTCTAACAAAACCCAAAATATCACTAAAGCCATTCTCCATTTTCAAAGAATATTTAAAGAAATGCGTATTTCAATATAAAACCTGAAAATGCTGAATTAAGACACCTTAATAACATGGCTAGCCAATTACTGATGTGACTTTAGCCTTAGAAAAAGATTATCAAAATTGGCTAAGTTCCAAATTTAAGCATTTGGTTTTATACTGTTAATATTGTACCTTTCTGATATAGATATCAAAGAAAAATGATCTGATTTTTTTCCTGAAAACAACAGTAAAATACAAATTTTTTGTGAAAAAATCCATGTCAAGATAGGAAATACATTGTTTCAAAACTCAGAATAAGTGTTATGAAAGAACTATAAAATTATAAATTTCTAAAAAAAAATACACTGAAAATGTCTCTCTAGGAAAAAATATGCAACTTGTTAGATACAAGAAAATATGGCATTACCATAGGGTGCAGTCAACTAGGCTATGAGACTTTAAAAACTCACAAAAAGTAATTAGCACCAAAATTGTCTGAAACTTCAAATGATATATTAAAGTAGGTCTAGGTCCAAATGTTACATTTTAAAAAAGTTATATTTAACCTGGGAGCTTTCCCCAGTAATAATAAATATATTATTTTTGACCTTTAGAAAACGTTCTATCTTTACTGATTTTCATCACAATATTAAGGTAGTGTATGCTAATTATCATTTACCTTAGTTTAGGCTGGGTAGGGACAATTGAAATCCAAATATTTCCCAAATAATATGAGATTATTTGGTGGGGAGTGTGAGTGGGGAGAAGTTTTCTAAGTGAAACTTACTTTTAGCTTGTTTCATACTTTTTCTTCTGAAATGTTTTATTGGAACTCTTTATAAGAACTATATTGCTTGATTTGAATTCCATGTCCTGTTATTTTCCCTGTTCACTTTCTGGTGGTGTTACTTAAGATTTGGCATGGGGATAGAGGTGTATAAAGGAGACAGAGATCACAGTAGTGAAACAAGAGTTTTGAATAAGCTAATGTATATTCAAAATATATATTCAACCCTGTTATGATCAAGAGTTTAGTTTTAAGTGACATCCATGTATAAATTTACTTACAAAACAGCCAGCACATGATTTGAAACAAGGCAAACTTTTTCGGTTGTCAAAAAGTGAAATATATAACTTCTTCAATTACATATATGGCTACCAAATGTCAAACAATTCAATTCGGCCATGTTTTACTGTTGCACATAAATAATAACAAGGCAAAGAACAGCAACTAGTCCAAGGGCTTGCAGGCCAAGGAACCACAGCATAACCCAAAAGAAAATGACTATTACTGGTTCCACTATTCGTTCTCCAAAATACATCCTTGTGAAGCCCATGTTGATAAGGTTTTTGTTCAGTTCACCAAAAAGTGTTCCCATTTTCTTGTAGTCATCTCCAACCGGCTCACCAGTGTGGTTCTGTGAGTCTTCAACATCCTTTAAAAAAAAAAAAAAAGACAAAACATGAACATAACATGAGAAATATGTAAACGTCTTTAAGAACCTTAGTTCTTCATCTTCCAAAGTGCTGGGCATACTTCTGATAATTATTCTACAAGTACCTGTTAACACAATGGGAATGTTCTTTTTGATCCTGGAATTGCACAAAAATGACTGCTTAAGTGAAGAATCATGTTTGTATTTCTCTTGTGAGTGACCATGATTTCAGAACACCCTTTTCTGCCACCCTCCTGTTTTATGAGGCAAGGCCTGACTGCTCTGTCCTGGTAAGATTCTTTTTAGACGGTTCCTTTGACACTAAGACGTTAAGAAACCGAGCCTCAGATGACCAAAGCATGTTTGCTGTTATTATTGAGCAATCCTCAGCCACTACTGCTGTGATCTTTGTCTTAGGCTCAGCTAAGCAGACTTCAGCGCAGGCCCTTGCATAGTTTCCTGTTCATTATATAGATGCCCTAAATGCCTCTTATTAATTTCATCAGGAGAAACAAATAGTTTTAATACAAATTTTTTTTTTTTACAATAAGGCCAAATGTCTACCCAGTAGTTAGTATCCCAGAAAATGTCTACATGCACCCAATTATACATACCTAAAGTATTATTTCTATTATCTTCCACTTGTATTATAATTAAGGCCATGACAGTAAGCTACTGTCTCTTGGCTTCAAACCCACTCTTTGGAATTCTGCAAGCATTTCTGTCTCCCTGTTAGGCTCTGCCAATAGAGGGACCAGCGTGACACTTCACAGGTAGAGAAGGAAGAAGGAATTTGCTGTTTCCTTCGGATGGGTTTCTTAATCCTGTTAAGTCTCACTCTAGCAACAATTCTTCACTCCGACAGCAATAGTGCCTGCTAGTAGTAGCAGCTGATTGCAATTTGGGGGTTTTCCAACACTTGTAGAACCAATCTCAATGTGCCTTCTTGAGATGCCAGCTCCAATTACTGGGTGCTTCTTCCTCAGATACCTGGTTCCCAGGTCTATAGGCTCCCTCCTCTGAACTCAGAGAAATCAGTACCAGGCAAGCAGTGACCTGTTCTCAAAAGTCTGAATTTCAGTTCCATGGGGGCCTTTTTGAAGCTTCTCAGTTTCAGTAAGTCCATCCATCTCTTTTTCTTTCTGCCCAGTCCTATGAGTGGTTGTCTTGGTGATATTTTAGTGCAGTGGTTTTTAAACTTTAGCATGCGTTAGAATCCGCTGGAGGGCTTGTTAAAGCACAGCTTGCTGGGCCTACTACTAGAGTTTCTGATTCAGTAAGTCAGGGGTGAAGTTGGAGTCTGAGAATTTGCATTTCTAGGAAGTTTCTAGGTGATGCTTATGATGCTGATCTGGTGACCATGCTTTTCCAATACCCAGTTAACAATTACTTATATTAAATTATCTTTGTTAAAATAATTGGTATAGTTTCTCTCCCCCTCCCCACCGCCCCAGACCCTAGTAGAATCACAAAAGAAAAACTGTCATGTAGGTGAGATAATTATAATTTATTTAAATATATTTTATTTAGGAGGCATGATTCAAATAATTATTGAATTATTTGCTCATAGTATGTACATGATGGAGAATTTATTATACGTTTAAAAAGCCTTTAGATATAGGGCTTCACATAATAAGTATTAAATACCATTAAGTATGCCGTATAGGCCAAAGGAAAGCAAAATTAATTATCTTATAAGGGAGTGTCACAAAATCATCTGCCACAAACAGCCAATGAATTTGAGGAAATTTTAAGACATTCTTCAAACATCTGAATCAAACTTACATTCTTTTAGTAGAAACCAAAGCTTGATCATTTCAGTCATCGATCAGTAAATAATTAAAAATATTTTTTTCATTAAAGAAATGGCTATATGAAGCCTTATTTTCTATTGTACACATAGAGTTTAAAATAAATCTTTAAGGGAAGAGTGAAAAAAAATCTAACTTTTGTTTAAAATAGAAAATCAGACAAAATGATTTTCAGTATGACTTTAAGAAATGGGCTTTTCCCATATACTAGTAATTTATGTACAGTAATGAGTACCAAGGGGGACTGATGAGGTAGTAGAAAAATGAGACTCACTGGGGCATCTTTGTTGAGTCTACATCATGTGTTCAAGCCAGATTTACTTTTGAGCTATACTTTTATATAATTTTTTTTTTTGAGACAGTTTCTTTCTTGTTGCCCAGGCTGGAGTGCAATGGCACAATCTCGGCTCACTGCAAACTCCACCTCACACTTCAAGCAATTCTCCTGCCTTAGCCTCCCAAGTAGCTGGGACTACAGGCATGCACCACCATGCCTGGCTAATCTTTTGTATTTACTAGAGACAGGGTTTCACCATGTTGGTCAGACTGGTCTTGAACTCCTGGCCTCAGGTGATCCACCTGCCTTGGCCTCCCAAAGTGCTGGAATTACCAGCGTGAGCCACTGTGCCCGGCCTATTTTATATAATTTTTAAAATTACTTTTGGATTTTCACTTCTATCAGAAAAAGAGTGAGAAGAACAAAATGTTGTAGAGTTATCTAGGGAGTTCACATCCAGGCTGCAACACTTTAACTGAGTGACATGACCTTAGCCAAATTACTTCACTTTTCCTGAACTTCAGTTTTCTAATCCATAAAATGATTTATGTGATCCTTTTTTGATACTGATAGTTTTCTCTTAAGTTATAATTTGTGGATCTTTTCTTTTTTTAAAAAATTGATTTCTAAATTATTTTTTCCTTCACTGATATATTATGACTGGGTCAATTTTATGTTTCTTGTACTTTGATATGATCCATAACAATATACTACATTTTAAAAAAACCCTTATTCTTGCCTAATATTAAAGCTTTCTTTTCTTTAGGGTAGAACTTGAAGAGTCCTCGATTTAGTATGTAATTCTGCTGATCCCTCATCCCTCTCTATTTCTCCAGTGTTCAGCATGTTGATACTGTTTCTGGCCTTTTTTTCTTCATTTTTTATTAAAGTTCTTAAAAAAATTTTTTTTTTTACTCTTCCCAATTTCTTGTAATCTATGCACTCATTGTACTTTGGGGTTTTTTTTGTTGTTACTGAAGCTTTTTAAGACTTTTTTTTTCAGTATTTTTGTGGTTTTAGTACGAAGAAAGTACCCTAATCTGGATGTGGTAGGTACTGTCTGAAGGTTTAAATTCTTTGTAAAATAAATTAAATCTACAAATGCTTGTGGGTTTTTCAGGGGAAGAAGGAGGTGTTGCAACACTTAAATCAAAACAGAGAGTTAGTAAATCAGGCCAGGCGAGGAGACAGCAATGCTCACATTATCTCAGATCTTGAGATCAGCTGGTGGGATTGAGACTGGAAGCTGAAGACCCAGTAAGGACAGGTCTGGGCAAGCTGTGGCTGTTGCAGCCTGCTTCTTCTTCTTTTTTTTTAATTATAAAAAAATTTAAGCACACACAAAACTAGAGAAAATAGTATAATAAACCTATATACGTATCAACCAGATTCAGTAATTTCTAAAACTTTGCCACCTTACTGAAATACTTCTTAATCTGGGTAATCTGATGAAGAAGAAAAAAGTTTAAAAAAAAATCACTAGGCTAATGCCTAAAAGTAACATATCTTCACAAATGAAGTTCTGTAGAAACATCAAATATATCCAGCAATGAATTGGATAGGGGGTTCAAACAACCCTAAAGGAAGACATTTAAGAATGTGGAAAGGGTGTCAGTTTCCAGGCAGGCAAAAGAAAAAAAAAAAAAGAACGTGGAAAAGGAAAATGATCAATATTCTTCAATCAGTGAGATTATAGTCAATCTCATTACAGTATTTTATGTATCTAGGATATCCTCTCAAATAACACAGTTCTAAAGGATACAAAGACTGGTGTGTTGGTAAATGTTTAACAATGGGCTTTGTTGGGGGTTGGGGGAAGCTCTATTTTACAGCGTTTGCCAATTCTGTTGTGATTTCCAATTTCTGTAGTGTTAGTACTTCCACTGTGGCCAATTTCAAACTATTAACAGCCAGCTCAAAAAGTTCCTGAAAATTTAACAACTTGCTCTTTGACGATTGGTAGGAGCCAGCACCAGCACTTCACTGTAGGAATAAGAGATACTTGAAATAAGTTGAGGTAAAGGCCTGCACGGTTATAGTCGATGAGTTTGATCCCTCCCTTCTTTCCACCAACTGGTGCATTTCTATTTTTTTTTTTTTAAGTTTACAACATTGACAAGCTGAGATAATTAAGTAGAATTAACTTATTACAAATATATTGCAAGTGGGTAAATTGTATTAAGAAAGGACTATATTATGACTTGAGTTATGAGATACAATGAAATGCATGTGGTGTCACAAAACTACTACAAGTAACAACATATTGCTTTTTCTGGATTGTCTCATGCAGCTATCAAAAGGTCATCCGATTCAATTATTTTTAGAAGTTCTTGTTTACAATAAAATTTAAACCATCTGGCTGATTTGTGAGGACGAGGGCTCTCTTGATGCTCCCTAGGTCAGTGAATGGTACCACCATCCATATGCCACATCCAAAGGTCAGAACTCTAAGGCATTCTTGACCCCCTCCCTCTCCCTCTTCCCCATGACCCACATCCAGCTCATCACCATATTCTCTTTGTTTTACCTTCTAAGTATTTCTTTAAAGTGTATATACTATTCCATCTACTGCTATAATCCTAAGAGTCTACTAAGATCTCTTGACTATTCCAATAGTTTCCTAACACTGCTACTGCACAAGTCCATTAGCTCCCCTATAATCTATATACCACAATGTAGCCACAGTGGTTCTTTCCAAGTGCAAATTCAATCATGCCACCTCCATCCTGCTTTTAGGATTAAGGCCAAAATCTTTAACATGATCTATGAGGCCCTGCTTAGTCTGGCTTCTATCTGGGTCTCTGGCCTCATTCTGTCATCAGCCTTCCTGTCTTTATTTCAGCCACAGAGGTCTTTCAG
Organism: Homo sapiens; assembly: GCF_000001405.40. NCBI lineage: Eukaryota > Metazoa > Chordata > Mammalia > Primates > Hominidae > Homo > Homo sapiens. Next base: position 112,181,745 of record NC_000004.12, on the reverse strand, counting down.
CTCTTGCTCGCCACAGGGATTTGCACGTGCTCTTTTCTCTGCTCAAAAAACTATTTCCTCTCTCCTTTGCTTAGTTAAGGCATCCTCTCCTTTTGGTCTTAGCTTAAGCTTCAACTCAGTCTCACAGCATCAGGTAATGCTCTTTCAATGCATTCTGACTCAATGCCAATGTGTGTCATTATTTGATTAATGTCTACCTGTACTATAAACTTCATGAACTAGGAACAGTATTTATTTTTGCTGGCCACTGATATCCTCTGATATGAATATGTAGCAAACGCTATGTCCTGAAAATAGCAGCATATAGAAACATCTCAATAAATATTTGTTGAATAAACAGGAAGAAATTATCATGTATTTTTCTGGCAGGCATTAGAGAAGTATTTGATAGATTTTCTACTTTGCTCCTTTTTTTTTTTGGCCAAACCAAAGATGGGCACTATTTTCCAAAATATTATTTACTACAGTAATCTGAAAACAATGTACATATTTTTATGGGATTAGCAGTATTTCTGTTGTGGACATTACTTAGCATCCAGTCTTCTTTCCTCTTCCCTATTAGAACCTTAAATCCAGCCTTCATTCTTCAGGTGAAGTGAATTCTACCTACTCAGTTCCAGAGATGATTCTAAGAGTAATTTTCTCTTTACTAGAGCTAGTTTTGGAAAGGGTATGTGATCCACTTTGGAACAATGACTTTTGCATGTCTTTTGAAAAAATTATTCCTAGCTCTTCTGGGTCAACTTTGGAAAGTGATCCTTATTTTCTTTTATTTCTCCACATATACTCCTCAAGTAAAGAGAACTTGTACTTAATATTAGTTTTCTATTGCTTCCATAAGAATTATAAAGGTAATGGTTTAAAACAACACAAATGTATTATCTTACAGTTCTGTCTATTAGAAGTCATGTTGGCAGGACTGAATTTCTTCCTAGAGGCTCAAGAGAATCTATTTCCGTACTTTTCCAGTTGCTAGAGCTGCCCACATTCCTTGGCTCCTCTTCTTTCATCTTCAAAGCTAGCAGTACTGCACCTCTTTGACCATTCTTCAGTAGTTAACATTTTCCTCTGACTACAGTGAAAAAAAGTTTTTTTTTTAAATTTAGAAACTTTTATAGCAATTTTATACCACATCATTTTTACTATATTTTACAAATGTATCAGTCAGCAATGAACTGAAAAACAAAAACCTAGCTTTTCGCCACCTTTTGAGAAACACTGGTATAATGAACACCTGTATTTTTTACTGCCTACATTTAACTGTTGTTAACAAACACAGAGAAATATAGAATTCTTCATAAATACTGTATAAAGAGGACACAAAATTAGGGGCCTCAAAAGTTTTAATTTTAAATTATTTCTTTAGCTCTTTTAAAAATACTTTCAACTTTTATTTTAGATACAGGAGGCACATGTGCAGGTTTGTTACAAGGGTATACTGCATGATGCTGAGGTTTGGGGTATATATTCCATCACTCAGGCAGTGAGCATAGTACCCAATAGGTAGTTTTTCAACCCACACTCCACTTTCTTCCTCCACCCTCCAGTAGTCCCCAGTGTCTACTGTTGCCATCCTTATGTCCATGAGTACCCAATGTTTAGCTCCTACTTATAAGTGAGAACATGTGGTATTTGGTTTTCTGTTTCTGCATTAATTTGGTTAGGATAGTGGTCTCCAGCTGTATTCATGTTGACTGCTACAAAGGATATGACTGTTTTTTTTTTAGGGCTGTGCAGTATTACATAATATATATACATTATGTAATATATGTGATATATATATATACACACACACACACACATATACATATATATATATATATATATATATCACATTTTCTTTATGCAATCCACCATTGATGGGCACCTAGGTTGATTCTGCCTTTGCTATTGAGAATAGCACTATGATGAACATATGAGAGCATGAGTCTTTTGGTAAAACGATTTATTTTATTTGGGTATATATGCAGTAATAGGATTGCTGGGTCAAATGGTAGCCCTGTTTGAAGTTCTTTTTTTTAATATATATATATATTTTATTATACTTTAAGTTCTAGGGTACATGTGCACAACGTGCAGGTTTGTTACATATGTATACATGTGCCAGGTTGGTGTGCTGCACCCATTAACTCGTCATTTACATTAGATATATCTCCTCATGCTATCCCTCCCCCTTCTCCCCACCCCACTACAGGCCCCTGTGTGTGATGTTCCCCTTCCTGTGTCCAAGTGTTCTCATTGTTCAATTCCCACCTATGAGTGAGAACATGCGGTGTTTGGTTTTTTGTCCTTGCGATAGTTTGCTGAGAATGATGGTTTCCAGCTTCATCCATGTCCCTACAAAGCACATGAACTCATCATTTTTTATGGCTGCATAGTACTCCATGGTGTATATGTGCCACATTTTCTTAATCCAGTCTATCATTGTTGGACATTTGGGTTGGTTCCAAGTCTTTGCTATTGTGAGTAGTGCTGCAATATTGGACCTAAAACCATAAAAACCCTAGAAGAAAACCTAGGCAATACCATTCAGGACATAGGCATGGGCAAGGACTTCATGTCTAAAACACCAAAAGCAATGGCAACAGAAGCCAAAATCGACAAAGGGGATCTAATTAAACTAAAGAGCTTCTGCACAGCAAAAGAAACTACATCAGAGTGTTTGAAGTTCTTTGAAAAATCTCCAAACTGCTTTCCACAGTGGCTGAACTAATTTATATTCCCACCAATAATGTATAAGCATTCCCTTTTCTCCACAGCCTCGCCAGCATCTGTTTTCTGACTTTTTAGTAACAGCCATTCTGTCTAGTATGAGATGGTATCTCATTGTGGTTTTGATTTGTATTTCTCTCATGAGTGATGATGAGCATTTTTTCATGGCCGCTTTTATGTCTTCCTTTGAGAAGTGTCTGTTTATGTCCTTTGTCCTTTTAAAAATCGTGTTATTTGTTTTTTGCTTGTTGATTTAAGTTTCTTACATATTCTGTATATTAGACCTCTGTCAGATGTATAGTTTGTGGAAATTTTCTCCCATTCTGTAGGCTGCCTGTTTACTCTGTTGATAGTTTCTTTTGCTGTGCAGAAATTCTTTAGTTTAATTAGGTCCCACTTGTCAATTTTTGTTCTTGTTGCAATCGCTTTTGGGGGCTTAGCCAAAAATTCTTTGCCAAGGCCGATGTTGAGAAGGGTATTTCCTAGATTTTCTTCTAGGATAGTCTGAGGTCTTACATGTAAATATTTTGATCTTTGACAAAGCAGACAAAACAAGCAATGGGGAAAGGACTCCCTATTTAATGGTGTTGAGGACTCCCTATTTAATTGGCTAGTCATATGCAGAAGAATGAAACTGGATCCCTACCTTTCACCATATACAAGAATTAAGTCAAGACAAATTAAAAGTTCTCTGTATTTAAGAACCCATGTGAAATCAGTTTGATCCACCTGGATAATTAGGATACTCTCCACATCTCAAAGTCCTTAAATTTAATCACATCTGCAAAATTCCTTTTGCCATGTAAGATATCATATTCTCTGGTTCTGAGGATTAAGATGTGGACATCTTTGGAGAGACCATTATTGTGCCTAGCATAGTATTTTGCTATAAAATTATTTCTTTATATATCTATTTTCTGTCACTAGCTTTGAACCCACTAAGGGTATTAAGGGCAAGAAACATGTCTTACAAATTTTACATTAGTACTTTGTATATTGCACTATGCCTGGCCCATCATAGACTCATAATAAGTATTTGCTGAAGGAACAATGGAAATATTCTACAATAACATACTATGCAAAAAACCCACCAAAATTTAAAACAAAGAAAACTTAAATGTAATATCAATATTCATTATATTCTCCCATGAGCATAGTTGTGAATTTTTCAATATTTTTGAAATATTTATAAATTCTAGACTAAATTACAGAATATGACAGCTGCTAGCTAAAATTTACATGCTCGGCATAATTCCTAACCCACTGCGTTTTAAGAGCAGACACTAATACGTACAGATGAGCTCTTGGGGGTCTGATTCTCTCTCAAGATGCTTGTAATTTTCAGAGTAATAGCAGTGGTAGTGCTATTAATGGTAGAGTAGGAAAGCCAACCCAAGTGCCTCCTATGTAACATGCATTGTGTTTTACATGCATTATCTTGTTTGATCTTTGCAACAATCTGTAAAGGAGGCACTATTATTTCCCCCCATTTATAGATAAGGAAACTGTAAAGTTTAAGAGGAATTAAATGTCTGGACACTGACCTATACTTAGTAATTGAAAGATCTATGATGTGAACCTGGTTATTCTTACTCCAGGGGACTCACCATTAATCCCTATACTGTACACACCCTCCAGTTATTATTACATTAATAGCTAACATCTAGTTAATGCTGCTTAGTTTTCAGAGACATTTTATGTATTCCACCTCTGAAAAGATAAGCTATATAAATACACTTTCATTTTACACAGAATGAATACATTTTACACAGCAAAATGAGTATCACTATCTTTTTTCCTTTACATCTTTTCTCACAGTTTACAGAATACCTAAAAGTATTCAAGCAGAAAAGTTGCTCAAATTCTCATTTTCATCCTGTACAAAAATTTAAGTAAAGCTATTTGCAGCAAGTTAGTACATTTTCATGCTTTTAAAAGTAGTAATGAATTCAGATTCAAATGTGAAAAAAAAGGCTCGGCAAGAATGAAGAGATATGTGGTTGGCAGAATTGCAATAAGACAACAAACAAAAAACCTCCCCAACAAACAATAAGCAAACCCATAAGACTTCACATATAAACCAGTACATGAGTGCAGAAATATAGATGGAGCTTTTTTTTCCTGTTCTATCGTTAATCACTTTTGTCTTTGCCAAAATTTATTCTTTGTATGTGAGGTCCCAATGGAAAAACATTTGTCAAATGTACAGTTTCCTTTGTGGTTATACAGAGAGTACTGACTATGACATGCACACGAAGAGTGTTCTCACCAAAGCAGTGATACTCTTTTTTTGGTCCATGATTAAAGACATACATAAAAATAGAGGGGTGTTCTAACTGATTCAAAATCCTTCTTAAAAGATACCCCAAATTAATGATGAGAAATTAAAGGTAAACCCTTAAGTAATCACTGGATTTTTGAGAAGCATCTTCAAAGATAATTAAAGCACAGTCTCTTACTTTAGAAATTAGGAATGAAGAGGTTAAGTCCCATAGCCCATTAACAAAAAACCAAGGCTTTCGTAGCAAACAGGACAGATTCAAATCCTGCTCCGTCATGTATCAGCTGTGTGACATTGGGCAAATTACTTAACCACTGACTCTCAGTTTCTTCACCCATAAAATGTGTATAATAATACCTACTTTAGAGTTGTTGTGATAAGAAAACAGATAAAACCTTTTTGAATAAGCACTCAATATATGGTAATTATTATTACTCTATTTTTGGCAGAATTTATATCTTGTGATTTTTACTTCTATTCTCTATTGTACCATGCTGCCTGAGATAATTAATGCCTTAGTGATTATCTTTCTCATGATAATTAAGTTCAGTTGTATTTTTTCAAGTGTTACGACAATTTAATTATATAGAAATTGAAGTGGGATGTTTTCTATGGAACATCTCTACCCACAGAACAATTTGTGCACGTTAATATTGGTAGAACCTGTTTACTCACTTTGGAAAGGGCACAAGCTACATTCTATAAATAGGCTTTTGCTGAGTGAGTTGACGATTTAAGATTCACTTATAACTGTCTTCCTGTGTCCAGTATTACATGTTGTTGTGTTAATGCATATCATTACATATGCAGTATTGAAAGTCTGCTGTTTTTGCCTGTCTAGTATATATACCATATATTCTACTTGATTTAACTTTGGGGAAACCATACTTTACCTGCTTTTAGTCCACGTGTTGGTTGAAGATGTCTCCATTCCCCAGCTCCAAGCCTGCCCAATAAGAACATTTCATTTTCTTTCTTTTTTTTTTTGAGATAGTCTCGCTCTGTTGCCCAGGCTGGAGTGCCATGGCATGATCTCGGCTCACTGCAACCTCTGCCTCCCGGGTTCAAGCGATTCTCCTGCCTCAGCCTCCTGAGTAGCTAGGATTACAGGCACCTGCCACCACACCTAGCTAATTTTCGTATTTTTAGTAGAGATGGGGCTTCACCATGTTGGCCAGGCTGGTCTCGAACTCCTGACCTCAGGTTATCCACCCACCTCAGCCTCCCAAATTGCTGGGAGTACCGGTGTGAGCCACCACACCCGGCTGAACATTTCATTTTCTTGGGAACGTAAATGTAACTCAAGACAGGCCAATGAAAGCTCTAGCCAAGACTTTTACTGCAACTATTGAAAAAGAGACAGGTTTTTTCTGTGTTGTTTTTGTTTTTGCTTGAGAAAAAAACAAACAAACTGTAGTTAGATAGCTGGTGAGTTGTAGGCCATCATATTACTAGGGGGGAAAGCTTGCTAAGAACAAAGCCAACATAAAGTAAAGCCAAGAAATGGATAGAGACGGTTTCATTGACATAATTTAAGTACTCAGATATAGCTAGCATATCTACTTTTGGTCTTTTTCATAACGTAAGCCAATAAATTCCTATTTTCCAAAATCTAGTAGGAGTTGGATTTTTGTCACTTGAAACCAAGAATTCTGACTATAGATGATGATAATAATAATAGCTACCACTAATCAGAATTCACCCATCTGCTAGATATTGTGGTAAGCACTTTACACATTCAGCCAGGGACTAGTAGCTTGGAGATTCCCACTCTAGCAACTGACAGAGAAATGCCTTGGGCATATACACAGTTTTTCAGACTGCCAGGGATGACAGTGATGTCACTTTAAAGCCTGGTTTCCAAGGAGTAAGGGGTCAGAATAGTTTATTGTTCAATTGGTTTCAGTCAGATGTTGAATTTAAGCCCCTTGTGCCATTGAGGCTATTGTCCTGTGTTGATGGGTCTATGTACAGCATGGAGAATGCTTTCAAGTCTACCCCGTATCCTACCATAATTGCTCCTGAGAGGGTGCAGCCTAGCACATGAGCCCTGCTTTCTCGAATTCTCACAGTTGACTTTGATCCCAGGAAGGCTCTTCTTGGCTCCTTCCTTGGTTCTCTCTTTAAAACTTCTGGCTGCTGTGTTGTTTTGACGGTGCCACTAGTAATATGTTTTGATATATTATGGAGCTATCAGCCTCCTATTAATTGCTCTTCACCAAGATCTGTATTGCTTTCAACAACAAACTTAGCCCGGAAAGTTCTCCATTCCCTTTCCCAAGTAAACAAAGTCCTCTCAGGGAAATCTATGGAGCTCTTCACTCACCGGCTTCAGCCACCCAAAGTGCTGGGATTACAGGCGTGAGTCACCGTGCCCAGCCAGATCTGCCTTTCCTCCTGGGCAGGGCTCCTGCACCATTGCACCATTCCCTGGGGTGACACCCTGCTGTAAAATTAGACACTTGAGGTTGGGGAGCAGCCCCTGGTTTTCTGGGTTACCTCTCCTGGGAGGGAACCTCTGCCCTACAGTGAGTGCAGGGAGGGGAAGGTGGGCCTCCGTGTTCTGGACTTGCTGTGCCTCGCTTAGAGACTGGTTAGGGGAAGAGAGACTTGGTTGTCTCAGCTATACCTACCTGGAATTGAGATTCCACAACATGGAGCTAGGAGGAGGAGGGGCAGAGAGCTGAAAAACACCAGAGGCCTACTCCTCCAGGGTGAAACTGCAGCCTGAGATTTAGTATATTTTCTTGAATGAATAATTCTCTATTTGCTGTATACCTTGAGGATGGTTCTTGGAGACTTTAAAAGACTTTTATTTTGTTTTGCTCCATAATTTTCAACAGTTAAATTGCTGCTTTGCTGAGGAGACAGTCTGCTGAATTCCTTACCTCATTGTTCTGGAAGCCCTACCTTGGTTATTTCTGGACATTACTTTTGATGGTGAACTGTGAGACAACTTCTGTGAGGCTGAATCAGAGGACGCTGTATGGTAGGTAGCTAGTTCTCTGGAATCAGTCCTGGGACCGTGAGCACCTTCAAGAGTGTTTATTATTCTTCACATGTACTGTGATCAAACTCTCAGTATAAAAGTTTGACTTATAAGGATCCATTTAATCAGGCAGTTCTTACTAACATTAAAAAAAGGCTTTAAATATATATTTGAAGTTAAATGAATTTTAAAATGGCTCCCTTTTTCTCCTTCTTCACTATCCTTTCACACATATCATTAAGTGGGCAATTTTCCATCATTGTGCAGTAGCCTACCATGTACTTTAGCTGGTAATTAACTCATTTTTTCATTAAGCCTAAAGAAAGTTAACCAGAAACCCAAATCTCAGAATAGTCAGTCCTGTTTTTTCCTTAGTTGCTTTCAATACATTAAATGTCACACTCAAACCTATTTTTTAGAAAAACTTTTAGCACAATTAAAATACTTTCTATCATTATTTATAACTCTCTGGGGAAGTTCTTAAAAAATGTAGAAATATAAAAAGTAAATCAAGAATGCTCTGTAAACATTAAAATGGTCTCCTCCTTCTATGGCCCACATTAAATCTCTGGCAGGGCTGGGCATAGTGGCTCACACCTATAATCTCAGCACTTTGGGAGGCCAAGGTGGGCAGATCATTTGAGTTCAGGAGTGCAAGACCAGCCTGGGCAACATAGTGAGACCCTGACTCTACAAAAAAATACAGAAGTTAGCGGGGTATGGTGGTGTGTGCCTGTAGTCCCAGCTGCTCAGGAGGCTGAGGTAGGAAAATAGCTTCAGCCCAGGAGGCAGAGGCTGCAGTGAACCAAGATCGCACCACTGCACTCCAGCCTGGGTGACAAGGCCAGACCTTGCCTCAAAACAAACACAAAATATCTGGCAGCCCAGAAAGAAAAAAACAGCAAATAAATAAACATATTAACGCATAAATGAACAAATAAAACTATGTTGTCATTTATATTCAGCATAACATTTATAATTATTTGGCTTTAAAAACACTTTAGAACCAATTCAACAAACATTTTTTCTGGTACCTATAAAGTATTAGATAAGTAATATTACATCCTTAACTTTGAGAAGCTAACAATCTAGTGTGGAGGTTAACATTTATAAACAAATACATATATTTTAAGGCAAAATGTGATCAACATTTAAGAGCTGCAAAATGCTTGGCATTTAGTTCAAAAAAGGTCAATTTGGTCATAAACTAAATCAAAAGAATTGGCAAAAAACCCACTAATGCACTGCTTTCAAATATTTAAATGATGTTTTTAAAAATGATATGGTGTGTTTAACTGCTTCTGTATTATTATATAAAAGGATAGCTGGTTATAGCACTGATAAACCACAAACCGATTCTGTGGTTTACAAAACATCTTCACTTCAGAATTTAGTCACCTGCAAAGACTGATTTCTTGCTTTGTATTCCTCTTCATCTCAAAGGTTATCCCTATGTAGATATGCTCTGAAATATGTAAGCCTTGAAAACAACAAGCAATGTTTAAATGAAATTTTTAACTTATTTCATGACACATTTATTAATTTAAAAAATGAACACTAATTGAATAGTATGTGTTGGGCAATGCTTTAAGTACTATGATCTTCAAAACATAAAGGAAACTGAGGAAGAGAGATTATGTAATTTAGTCAAGATCCCTTAGTAATTGGTGGAATCTAGACACATTCAGGCAATCTGGCTCTAAAGCCTATGTTCTAAAGCCTACACTATAGGCTTTGTTATAAATATAAAATCAATCTTGTGATGATTCACATTCTAATTGTTTCAATGTATCAGTTTTTAAAAGCAGTTTAGTTATACTTGTCTTGATTCACTTACATCAGCAAAAATAATACTTTTTTTGAATATAAACTCAAGATTTTTTTTTGTTTTTGTTTTTGTTTTTTGAGACAGAGTCTCACTCTGTCACCCAGGTTGGAGTGCAGTGGCGCGATCTCGGCTCACTGCAACCTCCGCCTCCCAGGTTCATGCCATTCTCCTGCCTCAGCCTCCTGAGTAGCTGGGACTACAGGCGCCCGCCACCATGCCTGGCTAATTTTTTATATTTTTAGTAGAGACGAGGTTTCACCGTGTTAGCCAGGATAGTCTCGATCTCCTAACCTCGTGATTCGCCCGCCTCGGCCTCCCAAAGTGCTGGGATCACAGGCGTGAGCCACCGCACCCGGCCATAAACTCAAGATTTTATAGTCTTCATAATAAAACAAAAGATGACACTTAGAACTGAATCACTTGGGCCTTTCTTTCCTTATCTCCTCCCAGTTCAAAATGCTTGCATCTTTTAATAGCCAGCATTCTCTTAGATCTGCAGTTGGCTCAACACACTCAAGCCTTAGCACAATCATCTTTGTAGTTTTATTTCCAGAAAATTGGCTTAGCTTGTCCCCCATAGTCACTCTGCTTCTTGTCGTAACACCGCTTTCCCTGGGCATACAGAGAATCCTTGCCCTTCTTGTACTGTGTCATTTTGTGGGGTTGGTGCTTGCCACACTTCGTACAGAAAGTCCAGTGGGTTTTAGGAATGTTTACCATGTTTGCAGGAGTGCTATCGGCACAGAAAGAAAGTAAAAATAATAATTTTAAAATGGTTTTGTGGTTTTTGCATTTTTTTTCCTGTACAATAACAGTTTCTTGTTTTATACACACATCTGGCTCACTGTAGTATAGCACCTGGTCTCAATTGTCATACTTACTATTTGACCAGGATTTTAAAAATTTCATCTTTTCTTAAAAATAAAAAACAAAACCAATCTCTAACCTTTAATCCCATTCCTACCCCCAGAAGAAAAGAAAAACTATAGAAGTTGGCACAAAGACTAAGCACATTGAGCACTTCAAAAGTGGGCTTTTTTTTTTTTTTTCCTATTTTTAACTGTATCCAGTTAAGAGAGAAAATGTATCACATTTGGCCAGAAAATAACCACTTGTTTTCCCCTGAAATTTTCTTGCCTTCATACTACAGTAGTCCCCCTTATCCAGTTTCTCTTTTCCCAGTTTCAGTTAGCTGCAGTCAACTGTGGTCTGAAAATATTAAATGGAAAATTCCATAAATAAATAATTTGTAAATTTTAAATTGTGGGCCATTTTGAGTATAGTGATGAAATCTCACACCATCTTGCTCCATCCTGCTCGGGACATGACTCATGCTTTTGTCCAGTGTATCCATGCTGTTGACATGATCCACCCATTAGTCGCTTAGTAGTCACCTCAATTATCAGATCGACAGATCACAAGAAGGGTGACTATGATACAATAAGATTATTTTGAGAGAAAGAGAGACCACATTCATACAACTTTTATTACAGTATATTATTATAGTTGTTCTAATTTATTCTTATTGTTGTTAATCTCTTACTGTGTCTTTAACTTATAAATGAAATGTTATCATAGGTATGTACACACAGGAAAAACAGTATATATAGGGTTCAGTACTATCATCAATTTCAGGCATCCACTGGGGGTCTTAGAATGTATCCCCTGTGGATAAGGGGGGACTACTGTATGTGCTTAATAACTAAAAACAAAGAACAATGAACTTCTAACATGAGCAGAATGTGCTCCAACGATCATGGAAAGGCTGCCTTTATAGATAACTTAATTTTAAACTAAATTTAGTTATAGAGAAACCAAAAGAAGGAAGAAGAATGACAGAAAGAAATTAGTTTGTAGTGAGTCTCAGAGGGATTTTAGACTAAAAAATATTTTCTCGCCAAAAAACTGGAATTTTGTTCCACTTAATCCACTCTACCATCCCACTTAACCTCTCCAAAAAAAGGCTTTTTGAAAAATGCCTTGTTACCTTCTTATAAAAGGTCAGGAATCTCACATTTGTGAAACACAAGTAAGACATAGTATCATACAGAAAGGGAAGATAAACAAATACATGACAATACATACTAAGAAAGAAGCAGAATTTTAAAAGCCTCTGGATTAGTTATATATTTAGTCTTTTTGGCTTCTATTTTCTCCTTGCAGTTGAGAATACATAGTGTCTACCATTTCAACTACGAATTCATAGCTACGTTTTCTCCCCATGCCCTGACTTCCTACAGTCTCCAATTTCCCTGTTTCTTTTAGGCTGCTAAGTATTATTGGTAAAAATTGTGCTGAGATGCTTCACTATAAAATTATGTGTCTCAATGTTCCTGGCACTCCTTCCATACTCCCAAATTCTTTCAGTCACCTCTTGATAATTGTCCATCCAATTCCTGAGGATTGTTTTGGATCTTTCTCACTCTTTTGTTGTCTCTTTCTTAGAGGTGTTGCTATTTCTTTTTAAGATTAGCATTTACTCATAATCCCAAATCCTCTTATTCATGCACGCAAGTATAAAAATAGATTTTATACTGTAACATATACCTTTTCATTCCTAAAGCAAAATAAGCAAAATATAGATCCTGATTGGAACTGGATTAGTTTGTGTGTTTGATGAGTCACTTCCTTTTAGGACAAAACGAAGAAAAGCAATAATATTCAAAATCAGCGGCACCAGAAAGAATCTGAGGCACTAACTAGATGAGGACTGATTCTTAAAAACATTGAGTATATCACTGATGCCGCTCTTCTGGTAGTTTGGCCAGCATCTGTTGAAAGAATTATCAACATTCATGATTTTGTAAATACATCTTTTAAATTACATTTTAGGATAGGAGTTTTAAGTTTGTACCTAGCCCAAGGTAAAGTTATATGGAAGATTGAAGACTATTTTGCTTATGCTGTTATATCTTTTCCATATTATATTTAAAGAGTTAAACATGTAGGCATGACTAATAGAAGTATCCAAGGCTAGGTGCCATGGCTCACGCCTGTAATCTCAGCGCTCCAGGAGGCCGAGGCAGGCGGATTACTTGAGGTCAGGAGTTCAAGACCAGCCTGACCAACATGCTGAAACTCCGTCTCTACTAAACATACAAAATTAAGCTGGGTGTGGGGGTGCACACCTGTAATCCCAGCTACTTGGAAGGCTGAGGTGGGAGAATCGCTTGAATCCGGGAGGTGGAAGTTGCAATGAGCTGAGATCGCGCCATTGCACTCCAGCCTGGGCAACAACAGCCAAACACTGTCTCAAATTAAAAAAAAAAATCCAAATATAGGAACCATCCTTCTTAGAACTAAGTTTCCTTTAAAATTAACTTATCAATAATTTCTTAGTAAGATCTATAATGGAATTTTGTCTCATAGCAAAGTTAACAGTACTTATGAATCTAACAATTTTTCAAAAAGTTATGAAAATGCCATTTATATTTATTGTTTGGGAGTATATTGTTTCCTGTACAATAACAGCTTCTTGTTTTATATACTTCACTTTTTGTCAAACCCATTGACTTGGCTGATTTTTTTCTTTGGAGTTCTGAAATAACCACTGCTGTACCATTCTTATGAAATGAAATATCTATTAAGCTATCAATCATTTGGACTAAGTAGGGAAAAAAAGTTTAATTGCTTTTCATTATTTATAGAACTAAAGAGTCTGTAGGAATCTAGTCTTGTAGATAAAGAAAAGTGTGTGAATCTGTGACATTTCTTGTGAAAAAACTCTTTGAAAAACAGTGTATCTACATAAAGTCACCTTATTTCATAACAAAGTATATTAGTTGTTTTAACTTTAGGTGAATGGTGATATAGTGAAAATTACTAGAAGTTTTCTGCTTACTGTAATAAAGTTTGTGCTTACATGCCAAAGTTATGATCCTCTCCTCTCAGCAAGTTTTGCACCTGCATTTTATGCAAGATGTGCTGTGCCCTACTTGTGGCAAGCCTGCACAGACCTGACTGATTTGTCAGACTGATGGCTGCTTACTTTCAGGAAACCACACACTGGTTCTTGATGTCTGTCATGTTCTCCTTGAGAATCTTTGATTATTAAGCTCTAACTCAGATAATCACAATCCTTGATTCACAGAATAGGCTAGCTTGCAAAATAAATTACTTAGTCAATTTAGTTCAATTCAACAAATAATAATTGAATGCTTATCAAGAGTAAGGTTAAGTGCTGTGGGGTATACAAAATAATAACCCATGTTCCCTGCTATTAAACTGCTTAATATATAAAGATATGTACCCAAATTACCATATAAAACACTGCTGCACTATCCCTTCCTAATTAAAATGACCCATAAAAGATTCATGGTTTTCCTCTTATCTTTCAGAACATTACTTCTCAACTCAGGCAACTCTTCAGATCTCTAGAGTAGAATGCTCAACTACATATTCAACATTTCTACATGAATGTCTTAGAGAAACCTCAAATTCAACATGCCCAGTACCAAGTTCATAACCATCTGCTCTAAAATTGGTCTTCCTCCAGTATCCTCTGCCTCGATGAATGGCACAACCTGCAGTGCAAGCCAGAAGCCTACTAGTCACTCTAGGTGTCTTCATCTCCCTTTTTCTCTTTGGTCTACTTCCGCTGGCCCATTCCCTTCTGAGTTTAGTTAGAACTCCTTAGGGGCTTATCTATAGGGCATCTTATCTTTTTACTTTATGTTCTCTTCTGATGGAGAGTTCATCTTCTCTAATGATTTTTATTAATACTTATATAGTTTATATGCTGAAGATTCAATTTTTAAGTCATACCTTGGCCAAGAAAAAATTATTAGTATTTTTATTTTTTATTTTTATTTTTTTTTTTTTTGAGACGGAGTCTCGCTCTGTCGCCCAGGCTGGAGTGCAGTGGCGGGATCTCGGCTCACTGCAAGCTCCGCCTCCCGGGTTCACGCCATTCTCCCGCCTCAGCCTCCCAAGTAGCTGGGACTACAGGCGCCCGCCACTACGCCCGGCTAATTTTTTGTATTTTTAGTAGAGACGGGGTTTCACCATTTTAGCCGGGATGGTCTCGATCTCCTGACCTCGTGATCCGCCCGCCTCGGCCTCCCAAAGTGCTGGGATTACAGGCGTGAGCCACCGCGCCCGGCCAGTATTTTTAATATCTTCAGAAAAAAATCCTTGTAATTTTGATCTTTTTCCATCTTCCTTTGCTTATAGCCATTTGTTCAATAAACTATTAAACACATATATTCCAAAGCATTAGTTCCTCACAAAATCACAGTCAGGTGGGTGCTATTAGACTCCAGAGGTCTAACTGACACCAGAGGACTTCCCCCAAATCAGCCAGCCAGGATTTGAAAGCAGGAGTATTCTGACAACAAATTCTGAGCTCATTCCAATAAACTGTGGTACAGTTTATTGGAAAATTTCTTTTTCAGAAAACATGCTTTGCTGTAAATAACTACATTCTCCTTCTCAACCTCACCCCTTCACATCAAATAATCAAATTTCTAAATCTCTTATTGTAAAGGAGTTGAACCACATATTTAAAGGGAAGTAGAATAAACAAATTCATTTTAAGGTGTGAGTATATAATCTTCATTAAGAAATGTACTTTTAAAAAACATTTAAAAAAATTTTCCCAGCACTTTGGGAGGCCAAGGCAGGCGGATCACGAGGTCAGGAGATCGAGACCAGGAGATACAGACCATACTTGCTAACACTGTGAAACCCCGTCTCTACTAAAAAAAAAAAATACAAAAAAATTAGCCGGGTGTGGTGGGGGGCACCTGTAGTCCCAGCTACTCGGGAGAGGCTGAGGCAGGAGAATGGTGTGAACCCGGGAAGTAGAGCTTGCAGTGAGCCGAGATCACACCACTGCACTCCAGCCTGGGCGACAGAGCGAGACTCTGTCTCAAAAAAAAAAAAAAAAAATTCTGAGTACATAGTAGGTGTCTATATTTGTGGGGCACGAGATATTTTGATACAGGTATACAATGTGAAATAAGCACATCATGGAAAATGGGGTATCCATCCCCTCAAGCATTTACTTTTGTGTTACAAACAATCCAATTATACTTTTAGTTATTTTTAAATGTACAATTAAATTATTTTGACAACAATCACTCTGTTGTACTATCAAATACTAGGTCTCATTCATTCATTCCATTCTTTTTGTAACCATTAACCATCCTCACTTCCCCCTCACGCCCCACTACCCTTCCCAGCCTCTGGTAACCATCCTTCTACTCTCTACCTTCATGAGTTCAATTATTTTGATTTTTAGATCCCACAAGTAAGTAAGAATATGCGATGTTTGTCTTCCTGTGCCTGGCTTATTTCACTTAACATAATGACCTCCAGTTCCATCCATGTTGTTGCAAAAGACAGGACCTCACTCTTTTTAACGGCTGAATAGTACTCCCTTGGGTATAAGTACCACGTTTTCTTTATCCATTCATCTGTTGATGGACAATTAGGTTGCTTCCAAATCTTTGCTATTGTGAACAGTGCTATAACAAATATGAGAGTGTAGATATCTCTTTGAGATACTAATTTCCTTTCTTTTGGAGATATACCCAGCAGTGGGATTGCTAGGCTATATGGAAGCTCAATGTTTAGTTTTTTGAGGAACCTCCAAACTGTTCTCTCCATAGTGGTCATACTAATTTACATTCCCACCAACAGTATGAGGCTTCCCTTTTCTCCACATCCTCACTAGTATTTGTCATTGCCTGTCTTTTGGATAAAAGACATTTCAACTGGTGTGAGATGATATCTCATTGTAGTTTTGATTTGCATTTCTCTGATGCTCAGTGATGTTGAGCATCTTTTCATATGCCTGTTTGCCATTTGTATGTCTTGTTTTTGTTTTGCTTTTGAGACAGGGTCTCATTCTGTCATCCAGGCTGGAGTGCGGTGGTGCGATCACAGCTCACTGTAGTCTTGAAGGAACTCCTAGGCTCAGGTGATTCTCCCACCTCAGCCTCCCAAATAGCTGAGCCCATGCCTAGCTAGTTTTTTTGTATTTTTTGGAGAGATGGGGTTTCACCGTATTGCCCAGGCTGGTCTCAAACTCCTGAGCTCAAGTGATCTGCCTGCCTAGGCCTCCCAAAGTGCTGGGATTATAGGCGTGAGCCACGGCACCTGGCCTGTATGTCTTCTTTTGAGGAATGTCTATTTAAATATTTTGCCCATGTTAAAATTGAATTATTAGACATTTTTCCTATAGAGTTGTTTGAGCTCCTTATATATTCTGGTTATTAATCGCTTGTCAGGGTAGTTTACAAATATTTTCTCCCATTCTATGGGTTGTATCTTCACTTGATTGTTTCTTTTGCTGTGCAGAAGCTTTTTTTTCATTTTATTTTATTTTTTAAAATTATTATACTTTAAGTTCTAGGGTACATGTGCACAACGTGCAGGTTTGTTACATATGTATACATGTGCCATGTTGGTGTGCTGCACCCATTAACTTGTCATTTACATTAGGTGTATCTCCTAATGCTATCCCTCCCCTCTTCCCCACCCCACAATAGGTCCCGGTGTGTGATGTTCCCCACCTTGTGTCCAAGTGTTCTCATTGTTCAGTTTCCACCTATGAGTGAGAACATGCAGTGTTTGGTTTTCTGTCCTTGCGATCGTTTGCTCAGAATGATGATATCCAGCTTCATCCATGTCCTCACAAAGGACATGAACTCATCCTTTTTTTAAAAAAATTATATTTTAAGTTCTAGGATACATGTGCAAAATGTGTAGGTTTGTTACACATGTATACATGTGCCATGTTGGTGTGCTGCACCGATTAACTAGTCATTTACATTAGGTATATCCCCTAATGCTATCCCTTCCCCTTCCCCCCACCCCACAACAGGCCCCAGTGTGTGATGTTCCCCACCCTGTGTCCAAGGGTTCTCATTGTTCAATTCCCACCTATGAGTGAGAACATGCGGTGTTTGGTTTTCTGTCCTTGCAACAGTTTGCTCCGAATGATGGTTTCCAGCTTCATCCATGTCCCTACAAAGGAGATGAACTCATCATTTTTTATGGCTGCATAGTATTCCATGGTGTACATGTGCCACATTTTCTTAATCCAGTCTATCACTGATGGACACTTGGGTTGGCACCAAGTCTTTATAGCAGCATGATTTATAATCCTCTGGGTATAGACCCAGTAATGGGATGGCTGGGTCAAATGGTATTTCTAGTTCTAGATCCTTGAGGAATCGCCACACTGTCTTCCACAATGGTTGAACTAGCTTACAATCCAACCAACAGCGGAAAAGTGTTCCTATTTTTCCACATCCTCTCCAGCACCAGTTGTTTCCTAACTTTTTAATAATCGTCATTCTAACTGGTGTGAGATGGTATCTCATTGTGGTTTTGATTTGCATTTCTCTGATGACCAGTGATGGTGAGCATTTTTTCATGTGTCTTTTGGCTGTATAAATGTCTTCTTTTGAGAAGTGTCTGTTCATATCCTTTGCCCACTTTTTGATGGGGTTGTTTGATTTTTTTCTTGTAAGTTTGTCTGAGTTCTTTGTAGATTCTGTATATTAGCCCTTTGTCAGATGGGTAGATTGTAAAATTTTTCTCCCATTCTGTAGGTTGCCTGTTCACTCTGATGGTAGTTTCTTTTGCTGTGCAGAAGCTCTTTAGTTTAATTAGATCCCATTTGTCAATTTTGGCTTTTGTTGCCATTGCTTCTGGTGTTTTAGTCATGAAGTCCTTGCCCATGCCTATGTTCTGAATGGTATTACCTAGGTTTTCTTCTAGGGTTTTTATGGTTTTAGGTCTAATATTTAAGTCTTTAATCCATTTTGAATTAATTTTTGTACAAGGTGTAAGGAAGGGATCTAGTTTCAGCTTTCTACATATGGCTAGCCAGTTTTCCCAGCACCATTTATTCAATAGGAAATCCTTTCCCCATTGCTTGTTTTTCTCAGGTTTGTCAAAGATCAGATGGTTGTAGATGTGTGGTATTATTTCTGAGGGCTCTGTTCTGTTCCATTGGTCTATCTCTGTTTTCGTAGCAGTACCATGCTGTTTTGGTTACTGTAGCCTTGTAATACAGTTTGAAGTCAGGTAGTGTGATGCCTCCAGCTTTGTTCTTTTGGCTTAGGATTGTCTTGGCAATGCGGGCTCTTTTTTTGGTTCCATATGAACTTTAAAGTAGTGTCTTCCAATTCTGTGAAGAAAGTCATTGGTAGCTTGATGGGGATGGCACTGAATCTATAAATTACCTTGGGCAGTATGGCCATTTTCATGATATTGATTCTTCCTACCCATGAGCATGGAATGTTCTTCCATTTGGTTGTGTCCTCTTTTATTTCGTTGAGCAGTGGTTTGTAGTTCTCCTTGAAGAGGTCCTTCACATCCCTTTAAGTTGGATTCCTAGGTATTTTATTCTCTTTGAAGCAACTGTGAATGGGAGTTCACTCACGATTTGGCTCTCTGTTTGTCTGTTATTGGTGTGGAGGAATGCTTGTGATTTTTGCACATTGATTTTGTATCCTGAGACTTTGCTGAAGTTGCTTATCAGCTTAAGGAGATTTTGGACTGAGACGATGGAGTTTTCTAAATATATAATCATGCCATCTGCAAACAGGGACAATTTGACTTCCTCTTTTCCTAATTGAATACCCTTTATTTCTTTCTCCTGCCTGACTGCCCTGGCCAGAACTTCCAACAGTATGTTGAATAGGAGTGGTGAGAGAGGGCATCCCTGTCCTGCGCCAGTTTTCAAAGGGAATGCTTCCAGTTTTTGTCCATTCAGTATGATATTGGCTGTGGGTCTGTCATAAATAGCTCTTATTATTGTGAGATACGTCCCATCAATACCTAATTTATTAAGAGTTTTTAGCATGAAGGGTTGTTGAATTTTGTCGAAGGCCTTTTCTGCATCTCTTGAGATAATCATGTGGTTTTTGTCTTTGGTTCTGTTTATATGCTGGATTAGGTTTATCGATTTGCGTATGTTGAACCAGCCTTGCATGCCAGGGATGAAGCCCACTTGATAGTGGTGGATAAGCTTTTTGATGTGCTGCTGGATTCAGTTTGCCAGTATTTTATTGAAGATTTCTGCATCGGTTTTCATCATGGGTATCGGTCTAAAATTCTCTTTTTTTGTTGTGTCTCTGCCAGGCTTTGGTATCAAGATGATGCTGGCCTCATAAAATGAGTTAGGAAGGATTCCTTCTTTTTCTATTGATTGGAATAGTTTCAGAAGGAATGGTACCAGCTCCTCTTTGTACCTCTGGTAGAATTCAGCTGTGAATCCGTCTGGTCCTAGACTTTTTTTGGTTGCTAGGCTATTAATATTGCCTCAATTTCAGGGCCTGTTATTGGTCTGTTCAGGGATTCAAATTCTTCCCGGTTTAGTCTTGGGAGGGTGTATGTGTCCAGGAATTTATCCGTTTCTTCTAGATTTTCTAGTTTACTTGCGTAGTGGTGTTTATAGTATTCTCTGATGGTAGTTTGTATTTCCGTGGGATTGGTGGTGATACCCCTTTATCATTTTTTATTGCATCAATCTGATTCTTCTCTTTTTCCTTCTTTATTGGTCTTGCTAGCAGTCTATCAATTTTGTTGATCTTTTCAAAAAACCAGCTCCTAGATTCATTGATTTTTTGAAGGTTTTTTGTGTCTGTATCTCCTTCAGTTCTGCTTTGATCTTAGTTATTTCTTGCCTTCTGCTAGCTTTTGAATATGTTTGCTCTTGCTTCTCTAGTTCTTTTAATTGTGATGTTGGGGTGTCAATTTCAGATCTTTCCTGCTTTCTCTTATGGGCATTTAGTGCTATAAATTTCCCTCTACACACTGCTTTAACTGTGTCCCAGAGATTCTGTTATGTTGTTTCTTTGTTCTCATTGGTTTCAAAGAACATCTTTATTTCTGTGCAGCTTTTTAACTTCATGTGAGCCTATTTGTCCATTTTTGCTTTAGTTGCCTGTACTTGTCTGTATTACTTAAGAATTTTTTGTCCAAACTAATGTCCTGGAGCTTTTCCCCAATGTTTTCTTGTAGTAGTTTCATAGTTTGAGATGTTAAATTTCAGTCTTTAATTCATTTTGATTTGATTTTTGTATATGGCGAGAGATAAGGATGTAGTTTCATTCTTCTGCATATGGATATCCAGTTTTTCCCACAGCATCATTTATTGAAGAGACTGTCTTTTCCCTAGTGTATATTCTTGGCACCCTTGTCAAAAATGTGATCACTATAGGTGTGTGGATTTGTTTCTGGGCTCTTTATTCTGTTCCATTGGTCTATGTGTCTGTTTTTATGCCAGTACCACACTGTTTTGGTTACTAAAGCTCTGTAGTATAACTTGAAGTCAGGTAATGTGTTTCCTCCAGTTTTGTTCTTTTTGCTCAGGATAGCTTTGGCTGTTCTGGAACTTCTGTGAGTGTAAATAAATTTCGGGAATGTTTTTTCTATTTCTGTGATGGATGTCATTGGTATTTTGATAGAAATTGCGTTGAATCTGTAGGTTGCTTCGGGTAGTATGGACATTTCAACAATATTGATTCTTCCAATCCATGAACATGCAATATCTTTCCTTTTTTTTTTTTTTTGAGATGGAGTTTTGCTCTGTTACCCAGGCTGGAGTACAGTGGTGTGATCTTGGCTCACTGCAACCTCTGCCTCCTGGGTTCAAGTGATTCTCGTCTCGGCCTCCGAGTAGCTGGGATTACAGGCACGCATCACCATGCCCAGCTAATTTTTGTATTTTTTAGTAGAGATGGGGTTTCATCATGTTGGCCAGACTGGTCTTGAACTCCTGACCTCAAGTAATCTGTCCACCTGGGCCTCCCAAAGTGCTGGGATTATAGGCATGAGCCACTGTGCCCATCCAGAAATGCTACTGATTTTGATTTTTGTGTGTTGGTTTTGTATTATGCAACTTTATTGAATTTATCAGTTCTAATAGTTTTTTGATGGAGTCCTTAGATTTTTCCAAATATAACATCATATCATCTGCAAACAAGCATAATTTGAATTCTTCCTTTCCAATCTGGATGCCCTTTATATCTTTCTCTTGTTTGATTGCTCTAGCTAGGACTTCCATTACTATGTTGAGTAACACTGGTGACCAGTGGACATCCTTCTCATGTTCTAGATCTTAGAGGAAAGACTTTCATTTTTTCTCCATTTAGTATGATACTAGCTGTGGGTCTGTCATATGTGGCTTTTGTTATGTTGAGATATTTTCTTTCTATATCCAGTTTTTTAGTGTTTTTTAATCATGAAGGGATGTTGAATTTTATCAAATGCTTTTTCAGCATCAATTGAAATGATCATATGGTTTTTATCCCTCATTCTGTTGATACATCACATTGATTGATTTGTGTATGTTGAACTATCCTTGTGTCCCTGGGATAAATCGCACTTGGTCATGATGAATAACCTTTTTAGTATATTGTTGAATTTGGTTTGCTAGTATTTTGTTGAGGATTTGTACCTCAATAGTCATCAGAGATACTGGTCTGCAGTTTTCTTTCTTTGATGTGTCTTTGTCTGGCTTTGGTATAATAAATGCACCCTTTAAAAGAGGAAATTTGCTAACTGAAATAAGTCCATAGTTAATTTACTTTTTCCTCCTATCTTTCCACAAAGAATTTGCGTTTGCTTACAGTAGGAGCAAATAAAATAGCAACAAAATATAGAGAACTGGAAGTGGGGATTGTGAGAAAGAATTGAGAATCTAGATTGAAGAAAGATATGTTACCATAGTTACTAAGACTGGGACTTAAATTGCTTTACTCTACTAAAGAGTCAAAGCAAACCGAGGGGCACAGCCAAGTAGGTAATTCTCATTTACTTTGGGTCTTTGCTCAACTATTACCTCAGTGAGCTCTTCCATGACCACTTTATTTAAAAGTGAAATAAGCCAGGCACAGAAAGACAAATATTGCAAGTTCTCATTCATATGTGAGAGCTAAAAAGGTTGATTTTTTGGAGACAGAGTAGAATGACAGTTAACAGAGCTGGGAAGTATGTATGTATGGGGGGAAAAGGGGTGATAAAGCACAATCATACAGTCAGAAAAAATCTAGTGTTCAATAGCACAGTTAGTGACTGCAGTTAACAGCAATATATTGTATATTTCAAAAAAGCTAGAAGAGAATATTTGAATGTTCCCAACACAAAGAAATAATAAATGTTTGAGGTGATGGATATCCTAAATACACTGATTTCATCATTATACAATGCATGTATCAAAATATCACATGTGCCCCATAAGTATGGTCAAATATTATATATCAATAGCAATGAAAAAATAAGAATAACAATAAAAATAGCAATCCTAGCTCATATCCACATTCCCTGTCTACCTTTCTGCTTTTTTTCATAGTGCATATAACCCAATGATTTACTTGTTCGCTGATAGACTTGTTCATTTATACATTGTCTCTCTTTCCCTACTACAACACAAGATTAATGAGAAATGAAATGTGGCCTGTTTTTATTTGTTTCCTTCTATCTTGACTTAGATCAGTGCCTGGAAAAATAGTAGGAGCTCATTAAATGTTTGAAATCAATGGGCTAAAAGCTATCAAGAAAGTATATGCTAGCCAGAAAAAGAAAGAATACAGAAACATTTATATAATACAATGATTACAATCAGTTGTTAAAACAATTGATGTTCAATATTATGTAAATGGAGAAAGTATCTTCAGTATATGGCAAGATTGTTAGAGCAACTTAAGCCTGAAAATCGTAGCCAAATATAGAGCGCCCAAAGACTTTGATTTCCAAATAGCGAATCATTTAAACTCCAAGAAGAAAATATTATCATCCAGAAATGGCAGAATCATTATACCTTTTTCAGTATATTACTGTTAAATAAACCATAATAATAAATTATAATAAAATAAATAATGAAGGACAAAGTTTGATATCTATTTTTTTCTTTACGTAATTTTTCTCAAGTGTTTTACATTGGATATTTTTATTGATGCCAAAGATAGGCATGCTAATTAGTTAATTCCCTATGGAAAAAAATCACTTCGTTCTTGCCCTTCTTTAAATTTAAAAGCTTAAATGAAATGTGCCTCTACATTGCTGTGAAACTCTTGAGTAGACAAAGTTGTCTCTGAACCAATGACCACTCAACAGTCAGAGAAAATATGCTAGGATGACATGAACAAGCAATTGGGATTTCTGTGCTAAATAAAAACTAGACATAGGTATGGAATCCTCTGAGCAGCAATCTTGTTCTCACCAAAATTTTTTGGAAGTGTTTGGGGTGTTTTTTTGGGAGTGATCTCAGATTCAGGTTAATTTTAGTTATATAATAACAGAATGTCAAAAAGAAATCGATTTTTACTTTTTTTTCATATAAATCATGCACTTTCACATGTACACTGAATGTATGCATTCAATAGTACTAGGCAAGAAGACTGGAATAGAATTAACATTTTCTAGCATCACATGACACTCTAAAGAGACATACATATCCCTGCTATCCAGAAATTAATCTACTTAGTGTAGCAAATTTTAGAAATTATCTTTGTCTATTACTAAATTATCTTTATCTATTTAGAATAAGCAAAAAAAATTTCTGGGTGTCTCTATGGCATTGCTTAGAATATTATTAATCTTCATGGTCTTTGAGTTATTTTAAAGTCCATAAATTACAGATAATTGAGAGCAATGCAAAAATATTCTTATCTGTAGGAATAAACTCTGTTCCAGTGAAGGTTCAATTGACTTCCCTCTCTCTGCCTGTGGAAAAAGCCAGTTTTGAAATCCGTTTCAACATATCTTCTCCATAAATACTTTTAGTTCTTTGATTTCTTCTTTGAATAGGTTGTAACATTTACTGGGTTCCCTCTTGATGATGAGTTACATAAAATCTTTAACACGTGTTTCTTTTATGTTTAATGAGAACCATAATTTTACCTTTTTGGAAATTATAATTTAACATTGTCACAATTGAAATGGCTGATAAGAATTTTATTCACTATCTTTCTACTAGCTCTGGCCTTCATTGACTATCTGGGTTTCTTACTATCCTATTTTCAACAAAACAAAAAACAGAATTCAAAATTTAGAGCAATACAAGTTAATATCCCCAGTTCCTATGTGTGTTAGCCTTTTACCTTCTTTATATTGTGATAATTTTTAAATACAGCATTTCAAGGACTACAATCCTTGCCTACAATTTTACAGATGTTTCACAGAAATCTTTTAAGCTCAATGCACAACTAACATCACTAGTTCCTCTTCTGTTGATTCTGATAAGAAGACATGTTCCTGTTATACACAAAGTCCAAGTTTCTCCCTCATGAATACTAATTTCTGTCATGGTAATTTCACCTGGGAAGTCACAGTTCTTCAGCAAAAACATCAACTGAGTTTTTACTAGCAAGTGTGTTTTTGGAGAAGAAGTTTTGACAGATTCATCTCTAGTAGCTCAGAGATGCCCAAATAATTTTCTGAAACATTTGCCATATAATGTAATCTCTGTCCTCATGGGGATTATGTTTTAGAGTGTACCTGTGGAGAGGGCAGTGAGGAGTGGCAGAGAATAAACATATTAACAAGGAAGATAATTTCAAATAGCAAGAAGAGCTATGAGGAAAAGAAAACAGGCTAGTGGAATAGAGGATTATGGGGTGGGAGGTTCTTTCCACAAAGTAGTCAGAGCTGAACTTTCTGAGGAAGTAATAGATAAGCTGGGATATGAAGCTCTGCCAAGGGAAGATCTGGGGGAAGAGTTCCAGGCAAATGACCTGAGATAGAATTGATCTATCTATGCTACTGCAGTGATCGTGACTGTCATCCACAATAAGAAATATACAGTATTTTATATCCTGAACTAGTACATATTAAGTTCCACAGAGTGACACTCATACTATGTGTGATGCATTCTAATAATTTCTATATTACTCTATCCTGTTTAAAATCCACTAAATTGATTTCATGGCCAAACACTAGCTTGGTAGTTTAGGGCTTTTAAGCATGGGTTTGAATCTCAACTCTGCAACTTACTAGCTGCTATACTTTCACTATGTTACTTAACCTCCTTGCTCTCCAATTTGTACATCTTAAAGTAGGGGCAATAATAGTATCTGTTCATAAGGTTTGATATCAAATTTCCTTTTAGAAATACTGAACTAACTTATACCTCTAATTTTTAGTGTATTTTATACACTATATCTCATATAGCCAAATATAGTATTTTATACACTATATCTCTAAACCCACACCATTCATCTTTTTAATCTTTGACAACTTGATAGGTAAAAAATCATTCCTAATTGTTTTAATTTGCATTTCTTTTCTTTATAGTGAGGCTGGACATATTTTTCTATTTATTGGACTCTACATGAAGTTGCAGTTTTCATTTCCTACAAAACGTTAAAAAATGATATAAATTAAATGTAAAAATGTACTACCTATATAAGGCTTCATCTAATAATAGCATTATATTATATTATATAATTTATAACTTATCATTATAACTTGTTTGTCACTTATCAGTAAATGAAAAATTATAGCATTGTTTTATACTTACCTCCCACTAAACTACATAGACCCAATAAAAGAAAAAAGATTTTTTTGAGGGGATGGATAAAAACAATGAGAATATCAACTAGAACTTAGTCTTTGAAATGATTATAAACAGAAAAATACCAAAATTTGCATTCATTTTTCATTTTAACTACCGGGCTTCAATATTTTTAAAATTATAAGTCATAATTGCAGACACACAAATGAAACCACCAGGTAGTCAAAAAGATACACTCAATTTCAGTAATATCTAACAGACGTATTGGAACAGCTGCCTATTGTAGAGAAAGAAATGGTTATGCAATGGAAAAATAATTAAATAAGAGAAGGGCTTTTCATGAACTAATGATATATAACTGTGGGCCACGAACTCAAGAATATGCCTAACTCAAGCCTCTTTTTTTGTGGCGGGGGAGGGTGGTGGGCGCAGACGGAGTTTTGCTCTGTCGCCCAGGCTGGAGTGCAGTTTGCGATCTTGGCTCACTGCAACCTCTGCCTCCTGGGTTCAAGCGATTCTTCTACCTCAGCCTCCTGAGTAGCTGGGATTACAGGTATTCCCCACCATACCCGGCTGATTTTTGTATCTTTTTGGAGAGGCGGGGTTTCGCCATGTTGGCCAGGCTGGTCTCGAACTCCTGGCCTCAGGTGACCCGCCCACCTCAGCCTCCCAAAGTGCTGGGATTACAGGCATGACCCACCACACCCTGCTCAAGCCTCTTTCTGATTTCAAACTGCAGGTTAAGACATTTCTACATTTTATACTTTTTCAAGAATCTACTTTTTTAAAAAAAAATATGAAATCTCTGGTGACATTACTTAGTACCTTGCATATGCAGGACAATATGCTAGATGCTACTACAAGATGGGTAAACTTATCCATTAAAAGTAGCCAGGCTGGGCACGGTGGCTCATGCCTGTAATCCCAGCACTTCGGAAGGCCAAGGCAGGGAAATTGCTTGAGGCCAGAAGTTCATAACCAGCCTGGGCAACACGGCAAAACTCCATCTCTACTAAAAATACAAAAATTAGCCAGGCATGGTAGTATGCACCTGTAGTCCCAGGAACTCGGTAGCCTGAGGCACAAGAATTGCTTGAACCTGGGAAGTGGAGGTTGCAGTGAGCTGAGATCCTACCATTGCACTCCTGCTTGGGCAACAAAGGACTCTGTCTCAAAAATAAAAAAATAAGAAATAAATTTTAAAAAATAAAGTATCAAACTTAGGGGAAAAAAGTAGTCAAAATCAAATATCTCTCCTGAAAAATGACTTTCCTTCTCAATTCTCAATTTGTGGCAGTGAAAATTTCGCTTCTGCTGTTATTACCTCTAAAACTCATGGAATAAGAAATCCTCAATTCAGTCAGACTGATGGAATTTGCAATCATGCAACATCAAACTTAAATTCCCTACCTCTGTAGGCCATCTGCAGACATTCAAGTAAAATTTAATTAAGAGGATACAAAACAAAAATTAAATTATTTTGGATTAATTGGAAGAGGAAATAAAAGAAATTCTCAAACACAGATATTTAAAAAGTTACATGAAAATAAATACTGTAAAAACCACAATGGGAATTTAACTTTCTTAACATTATGTTTAGATATTAAGTATTAATGATAATTTTATCCTTTATTTTCCATAAAGTTAAAAACATTTGTACCATGCTTTCCTTTTGATTAGAACTCTGATAAGCTGCAGTTGTTGCCCTAAGAAAACAGCAAGAAATAAAGCCAATCACTTCCTCTTCCTATGCCAAGATAAGACTCAGCTGCCAATGAAGTTAAATGGCTGGGGGCGGTGCCGGGGGAAACACTGGGTATGGGGAAAAAGATCAGAAGATAGAAAGTATCTTCTGCATCAGGTTGGTTAGAAACTCGGTTTATCTGCTCAAAAGAAGCTACATTTCAAATGTCTTATTAATTCTCTCAAACACACATAAACACAATGAAATAAAACATAACTAGTAGGAACAAGGTTTTCGGAGATAGGTGGCTGTTACTGGAAGATAAGATTATGACTCCAGAAAAGACAGAAAATGAAGACAGTGTTGCTAAGTCTTAAAGAACACATGAATAGAGACACAGAATTTCTACATATTTCTGTTACAGCAAGACTGATGTCATGGTACTTTGAGTTTTTCCTTTTAATCTTGCCTTATCACTTCTTTTGAATAGGAAACTGAGAATAGTTTGTACAGAGGAGGTGGGTATTTTTCCTCTCAAGGATTAGTGAGCAACAAGGGGGAAAAGAAACCAACTAGAGATCTACATAAAAAACAACATAATTTAGGTTGACAGGTTTAATTTTTTCTTTAGAGATTGTCTATTCTAAACATTAGATACATTGTTTCACAATCTTAACACTTTGTTCAATAAATATTCTATAAATTTGAGAATTACATGTACTAAAAACACAGTTCTATGATGTGTTAGTTGAGGGAAATAAGGGGAGGAAAACCAGAGAAAAAGAAGAAAAATAGAAAAGGTGAGGGAGAAATAAGGAGCAAATATTTATTGAGTGCCTCCATGTGTTAGGCATTTTACATACAAAATGAGACTGAATCCTCATAAAAACTTTAAGAGGTGGGTAGCATCATACCCATTACAAATGAGGAAATTGAATCTCTGACGGATTAAGTAATCAGGATCACGGGGGCTAATAAAGAGTAAAACCGGGATTCAAAATTAGATCTGTCATACTTCAACCCCCTTTTCATTGTTTCATAATGCTCAGCTTCTGCACTGAAGTGGAAGAGGTAGGGGAAGATGTATGCAGAAGAAGAGAAAGTGGTTGAGATGCGTGGGGAGGGAAAAAACACATGAGAGAACGAGACTCAACAGAGACAGAAAGGAGATGGGTGGTAGGAAAGAAAGGCAGAAAAGGAATGTGTGAGAAAGCAAAATACAGCAAGTTGCATACGAGGAGCTGCTAGAAGAGACACAGAGAAAAGTTTGAAATTCTGTTTAAAATACAGGTTTCAAGCAAATAAACAATTTTAACCTATCTATTGGAATATCTATTATCAGAGTAATTACTTTTGACAACTCAAAGGACTGTAACCCTTACATATTTTGAATATTGTTTCTCAACTTTGGCACTATTGAAATTTTGTGCCAGATAATACTTCGCTGTAGGGGACTATGGCATTATACGATGTTTACCAGCATTCCTGGCCTTTTCCTATTAGATGTCAGTACCACCTCCTTAGTTTCAGCAATAAAAAAATGTCCAGACATTGTCAAATGCCCCCTATGGACAAAAGGCCCCCAGTTGAGAACCACTGATTTAGAAGTTCCAGTCTGGATGATTTAAAAAAATGAACAAAAGATGCCTATCAAATGCAAAATTATTCCCTGAGTTACTCTAGTGACTGGATGTCCTTAGGAACAAGATGAGATTAAGTTAGGGCAGAATTCAACTAAGCTCATAGCACTTATTACAATATTGCTTGCAAACTGCTTTTAAAATACGTGAAAGGAAGTGAGTATAAACTAATATTTAGTTTTGAACTACACCATCTAAAGTAGGGCAGAAAATTTGTCAGACTGTTTTTCCATCATGTAATGTGCTTTTTGTATTTGTGAAACAAACAAACAAACAAAAAACACTAGCTTTGGTGTTCGGAAACCTGGGTTCTAGTCTGCTCTAGCATGAGTTAGCTGTAGGACCTACAGCAAATAACGTGGCCTAGGGAACAACTATTGGCTTCTCATATTTTACCAAGAGTTTAAATATACACTTCTAAGAAAATAGTTAAACAACTTCATATGTATATATTACTGATACTATGTTGAAGGGCAAGTGTGGTGAATACAGTATATTGACTTGCTTATTCTCCATTCCCTTGCCAAAATGTGGTCCATGGGCACAGCATCAGCATCACTTAGGAGTTTGTAGAGATGCAAAATCTCAGACCTCACTCCAAACCAACTGAATCAAAATCTGCATTTAATAAGAGATGATTCCTATGCACACTGAAGTTGAGGAATACTTGTGTCAGTTTCCATTGCTATAAAAAAATCAGACACAGACAATATAGCACTGGATAATTTATAAAGAAGAGAGGTTTATTTGGCTCATGGTTCTGCAGGCTGTACACGAAACATAGTGCTGGCATCTCCTTCTGGTAAGGGCCTTAGGAAGCTTACAATCATGGCAGAAGGTGAAGGGAGAGCAGGCAGTGTCACATGGCAAGAGGGAGGGAGGGAAGGAGAGAGAGGGAGAGAGGTCCCAGATTCTTTTAAACAACCAGATCTTGTGTGAACTAAGTGGGCGACAATTTACTTGTCACCAAAGGCATAGCACTAAGCCGTTTATGAGGGATCTACCCCCATGATCAAAACACCTCCCACCAGATCCCACCTCCAACACTGTAGATCACATTTCAGTATGAGATTTGGAGGCAACAAACGCCCAAACTATATTAATGCTGTTCTGCTTTTCGCCTCAGGTGGTTTTCTAATTGCAGAGGCTGGAAAACTTAAAATTGCCTTTCTCAGATTTCGTTTCAGTTAGGACTTTGGTCCAAAATTAGGCCTAACAGCTAACACTCACATGCTAGATAGCTATGTGCCAGAGACTGCTCTAAGTACATCTCATATATTATTAATTCATATAATCCTTCCAATAATCCTATGAAGTTGTTACAATTATTCCCATTATGCAGATGCAGAAACTGCAGCCCAGAGAGGTTAGTTACTTGCCTAAAGTTACAGTCAATAAAAGGCAAACCCAGGTAACCCTGATCTAGAATCTGTACTGTTAATCATATTTCTACTGATAGATCAAAAGGCATGGACCCCCCTCACTGAACCCCCCATTTTGTTTTCTTTTTTACAGATCATCTCATGGAACACACTTTGGCAAATGCTGTTACAGAAGTTCCTTCATTTATTTACTTACATTTATCTATGAGCCAGCATTGTTCTGAAAGTTCTAGGCATTGCCAAAGGCAAGAAATAGAAATGAGACATTATCATTTGAAAGGAAGCAAAATTATTTTTATCTATAAACTGGATAATTATATACCTAGAAGATGCAAATGAATCAAGTCTAAGAGCTACTAGTATTTATTAGTACCAGTATAAAAATTTAGAAAGATGGCCAGTTAAAAATGAAATACATAAAAGCCAATAGCTAGAAACCACCAACAAAATATGATATGGAAAAAATCCTTTTCATAATACCAACAAAAATATAAAAACTTAATACAGACTTTAATATAATCCTTAATACTATAAAAGATTATAAAGCAAGGCAGAAAGTACATTATTCAATGATTAGGACAAAAAAAGATCAGCTCCATACTTCATACAATATAGAAAATCATTCTAAAGAGATTAAATATATAGAGTAAAAAATTAAACCATAAATGCACACATACAAAAGAAAACATAGGCAAATATTTAACTGATTGTAAGATTAGAAAAAATTTCTTAATATGTATAGAAAGAGATACGTGTATACATGTGAGTGGTGTGTGTATATACGAAATTACCAAAAAAATTCCTTTAATAAAAATTCAAAGCATTATCAAATTTTAAAAAACATAAATAAAATTATAAAGTAAATAGCAAGCAGAGAAAATATTTACAGCCAATGTGAAAATAAGGGATTAATATCCTTATAATGCCAAAAGAAAAAAAATGACTAAAAAGAAATACAAATGCCTAATAAATATATGAATGGTTTAGTAAACCTCTCCAGCAACAGCTTACAATATGATAGAAGTTTCACCTATGAAATTGGCAATGATTATAAACTATATTGTTCATTGCTGGCATGGATGGTTTCCAACTGGCCTTTTTACACACCAGTGCTGCAAGTGTAAATGAGTACAACCTTTCTTGAATTAAATTCTTTAGGATGTTTCAAGAGGCTTCAAAGAGTTTGACTCATTGACCTAGTTCTTCTACTTCTAGGAATCTATACCAGGGTAGAAGTTTAAGGATTTACAAGCAAATATTTTCAGACAGCACGATTTATAAAAGAAAGCTTGAAGCAACTTCAATGTGCGGTGTTAGGGGAATGAATTATTTGGCAGCCCTAAAGAGAGTTTTCACATAGAATTTCCATAACATGGGAAAATGACACAACCTTTTGTAAAAGAAGACACAAAATTATATTTATATTAAAACATATTAAAAATACATGTGTGGCTGGGCACAGAGGCTCAGACCTGTAATCCCAGTACTTCGGGAGGCTGAGACGGGAGGATTGCTTGAGGCTAGTAGTTTGAGATTAGCCTGGGCAACATAGCAAAACCCTATCTCAAAAAAAAAGTGTGTATATATGCATATACACATAGACAAATGAATATACTGTAGTAATACCAAGTTTCATATTTGATATCAAAATATTTGATATCAAAATCCCAAAATAGAGTGGGATTTCAAAGGCTTTTTTCTTCTTTAGATCTTTCTATAGTTCTAATTTTCCAAAGCACACATTACTTTTATAATCATAAAGACGTTAAAGCTAGAGTTAATAATTCGAAAGTCAATCTAAGGATAATGGGACTTCCCTATTCTCTAGGTAAGAGGGTCATGTTAGGTTATTTCAGATTGTGAGTGACCTGTACATTGTGCCACATCTAAGCAGATGCTATTGACATTTAAGGCATATAATAATGGACTAGAGATGTTTAGCCTTTCAGCTATGCATCAGGGCACAGAAACTCTTACATAAAGCCACCTGGCATTCACCCTCATGAACATACTTGGATCATCTCTCATACACACAATTACCAACACATATATGGAATAGCTGTGTCCTGTCCCTTCAGTTTCTTGGACATTCCCTGAAATTGCTTCTTTCCCTTGCTTATCTCTCTTTAGACACCTGATCCTATTTCAAACCTGGCACAGTTTCTTCATCTACAGGACTTGATTCATTCTCCCAAGGCCTCCTTTCTTAAGTGACTTGATTTTAACCAGGCATCCTTTGTCAATCGCCCTACCTGGAAAGACTCAGGCCAGAATGACAGAAGAACCTTCATTTTTTGCTCAAATGGAGTAGCATCTAAAGACAAATTGTTAAAAATGATGCAGACAATATCTTAACTAGTAATAAAACACCTATGTTAATACTAGGTGTTTTATATATTTCATATATATATGAAATAAGTAACAAAATAAAGATACATTTTGTTCTGGTATTGTAATAACAAGCTGATGAAAGAGCTTTCCAGGTTGAGGAAAAGGAATGAACCTTTCAGACAGAAGTGGAAAGAAAAATCAGTGAAGGAAGGGATGTATGTGGACGAGGATTTAGCTTGAGAAATAGCCCAAGAAAGAAACCTCCATCAAATTATTAGGAAAGGGCAAACTCTGTGAGGGGAATAGAAATAGAAAGGGACTTAATACAGAAAATTAGGTGTTGACAAAATCATTGAAAGAGCTAGAGGAGCACAAGTCAGGTGCCTCTGGAGCTATGGTGTTCAAGAGCATACAACCATAGCTCTTTTCTGGGTTAAAAGGAGCGCCTCTGCTAGCTCCTGCCTCTAATTTCCTCTCAATACCCATGAGGCTATCCATGACTCCGGAACACGAAGTGAGCGTGCCAAGTAGAAAAGACGGCAGGAAGATGGCCTCTGTCTCATTTCCAGCTAATTAGTTTTGGTTCTGTTCCTGTTTATATCATTGTTTTCATGGAAAAGTTCACCTTAAGTTCTAAATCATTAACTTAGAAACCAATCTTTCAAAAATATTCCATTTGTAATCTGGAGTCCTTGTATCCTTAAACCAACCAACAGGACAAACAAAAATCATCTCCCTAAATAAAAACTAAATAAAATGAGTCCTTGGGATATGTTCCATAGTTGTTAATTTCATTTCTTCCTCAAATATCTTTACACATGTAATACTATTTCTACCATCATTACATGGCAATGCATAATTTCATTTACAGAACTTGAAAAAAACTAGAAAACAAGGCTTTGTGATAACATTACCAAGAAACGTTTTATCAGAAAAGCTTGCTTTTTACAACAATGGGTTGGGTTGCACCAATTTTTTGCTTATTTTTGTCTTCTTGACTAATTCTTCTTTGGTGCTAATGTAGTAGGAAATGCCTATCTCCGGTGTGATTTTCAATTATTGTGTATGGGGGCTTAGAATACATTAATAAATCTTGAGGCAAAAACAGAATGATAAAAATAACACTTCAAAGGAGTACAGGAGAATGAACTTTCATGACATTCAATGAAGGAGGCAGGTATGCAAAGTGATATGTTTTCTAAGATGTACTTTTCATTTTTTGTTTTATCCTTTTACTTTGTACCATAAGCAATTTTGGAAAGACCACAACTATTAGTGATGTCTACATAATCATACTAATGAAGTACACAGAAGCTTAAATGAAGTATTTTTATATGCTCCCTTACAACTATTTGAAAATTTACTTTGGAAACCCCTGCTCAAATGCAACCCCTCCCCACCCCCAAAGGAATTCTTGTGCTGTCTTCTTCACTTTTCCAGTTAAGCAATTTAAGTTAGAGGAAATCAAGCCCTTGAGCAAATGAATAGTTAACGGGAAAAACCACTAGGAAGGGAATCCGAAGAACAAGCTACCAAATTATTTGCTTGAGTCACTTTCTCTTATATTGTCACAGATGAAAAATTACACTCCACGTGGTGATCAAACCTAACGCTAAGGCATATTTTGTGTGCCACACAGTATTACTCTGTTTCCTAAGTAACCTATTGAAACAATGTAAGGTATACATCTATTAATGCATTTAGTGATGATACTGGAATTTGTGAAACGTGACAGAAAGGACAGATGAAGAAAGATGAGGAGAGACAGGTATTAATTGTCCTAACAGTACAGGCTGTAATAAAGGCCAATAATCATTTGAATTCCTGCTCCTTAATGTGAGTCTAAAGAGCGGCTTACCTCAGGTATTTGGAAAGTCTAAATACTGTATTTGCTGTAGAAAATTCATCCAACATACAATTCAATTTTTAAAATTAAACCTTTTGCCTAATCTTTAAGATATTTGATGTTATAATGCCCATTATCACACTTTATTTAAATGAGATAAACTCAGAGAGTTTAAAAAATTACGCAACTTCTCTTTTCCCTTACTATGGCTGGCCTCTTATAACCGAAAGCAATATTCTTGCCTCTCCACTTTTTAACTGAAGCTTTGATCTCATCTGTATTTATGAAGAACGTGCTCTGGGAGAGTCCCTGTCAAGACATTCATTGTAACACCCGCTCCTACTCATGCTTTCAGCGCTGCCCGTGGACGGAATCCACCCACACCTTCCAGACACGCTAGGTGTGGGCTCGGAAACGCAAGATGGAGGGCGGGAG
This sequence comes from Homo sapiens, assembly GCF_000001405.40. Classification (NCBI taxonomy): domain Eukaryota; kingdom Metazoa; phylum Chordata; class Mammalia; order Primates; family Hominidae; genus Homo; species Homo sapiens. The sequence goes on along the minus strand of NC_000004.12, from coordinate 112,146,143 downwards.
GGGAGCCGGCGTCTCCTAAACCTGGCGCAGGGCACGGACTCGAAGTTGAAAAAGAAGTGTTTACAAGTGAGGCTTTTAAATAAATCACCGCTATGGAGGGCATTTCCTCCGAGCCCTGGGCGCCAGCCTGAGAATCCTCTGCCGGACGCCAGGGGACGAACCACGCTGACCCCGCCAGACACGCGACCCCGGGGCCGGCGCTGGCGTCTGCACTCGCGCGACCCCGCCGCTCCTCCTGGGAGCGCCGTCTAACCGCTCCCGGCGACGACTTCCCAGAGCGCCGGGGAGCCAGTGCCCACGCGGGGCAGAGCTGCGGCGCGGCCCGCGGGCCGGGCCCCTTCCCTCCAACGCCGGGCGGGGCTCGCGGCCCCCGACCCGGCCGCTTCGCCGCCGCCCCTCCCCGCGCTCACCTGCTCGCTCTCCTTCGGCCGCTGTCCGCGCCGCCGCGGGCTCGCCCCGGGATCCCACCCGGTCCCTGCCGCCTCCCGCTCCGCCAGCGCGTCCCCGTCCTCGTCGCGTTCCCCGCCGTCGCCGCCCCGCAGCAGCTCCCCGGCTGAGCACATCCCGCAGCCAACTCCTACCGCCCCGGACAGCCGCCGGAGGACCACGCCGCGACGCACCAGGCAGCGCCGCCGCCCGAAGGCTGCCCTGGGATCCGCCGCACCCGCCGCTGACAGGAGCCGCCGGAGCGCGCCCCGCCGGCCTGGGCGCCTGAAGTACCAGCCCGGCCCCTCCTGTCACTGGCTCGCCCAACCCCCGGCCGTCGGGGCGGAGCCGTACAGGGGAGGGGCCAAGACAGGGGGCGGGGCCAACGGTGTGTTGGGGGGCGGGGGTGTGTGTGTGAGATTGAGAGAGAGGCCGACAGACTGAGAGAAGAAGGGTGTTGTGTGAAAAACTATGGACATACACTGCATGAGGGAGATTGTACATGAGAGAGGCTGTGTGTATGTATGAGGGATATTGTGTGTGCGTAAGAGACCGTTAGAGAGTGTGAGAGAGACGCTGAGCGTGATTTGTGTGTGTGTGTGAGAGAGATTCTATATAAAAGAAACTGCGTATAAGAGATTGTATGCACTTTGGGAGGCCGAGGCGGGCAGATAGCTTGAGCCCAGGAGTTGGAGACCAGCCTGGGCAACCCCATCTCTACTAAAAATAGAATTAGGCGGGCGTGGTGGCGGCAGTGTGGTCCCAGCTACTCAGGAGGCTGAGGTGGGAGGATCGTCTCAGCGCGGGAAGTCGAGGCTGCAGTGAGCAGAGATCACACCACTGCACTCCAGCGTGGGCGACAGAACCAGACCCCGTTTCAGAGAGAGAGAGAGAGAGAGAGAGGAGGGGGGGGGGAAAGAGAGAGAGAGAGAGAGAGAGAGAGAGATTGAGATTGTATGTGTATGCAAGAGACTGTGAGAGAGAGATTGTATGAGGGAACAACAGAAACTGAGAGAGATCAAGTGTGAAAGAGAAATTACTTGTGTGAGAGAGCCAGTGCATATATTTAAGAGAGAGCGCATTTGTATAAGAGATTAGTGTGTGTGGGTTTGTATGTGAGAGAGAAACACACACATGCACCCAGTTACACTCTCCAGCAGAGTACCCCTGTTCTTGCCTGAGTATCTGCCCGTCCTTTTCAAGGAAGACACATTTCACTGTCCCTCTTGTTCCTTTAGCCTCCTTTCCTAGTGTCTCACTGAAGGTCTGTGTATTTGTCCCTTTCTGTTGAGTGCTTCCTAGTGTGTGTTGTTTGTTGGAGCCTTGGGTCGTTTGATGGTGTATCAAATGATGTATCTTTCTGTAACTGGGTAAGAATATGTCTTTCTCAGTGGGTGGTGAGGGGAATATATCCAATTGATAATTATTTTTTGTACTACTCCATCCATTTTATTCAAGGAAAATGGAAGGGTGTTTAAATAAAATATCACTTTTTTTTCTGTGTATGCCTTATCTGTACATTGGGAAAACGATGGGTTATTGTACAGGTAAAATACAGAAAAGTAAATATGGAAAGTAAACATGTGTACACATGGAGAAGAGTAAGAGTTATTTGGGATCTTCTATTAAAATGTTTTCAGGCCCAGAGAAGGAATTAAAATAGGCAGAATCTCATAGGCTTATTTTAAAGAAGTTTCCTGTTTTTTGTAGTCAGGAGATTCTCAGTCTTTCTCACACACCCACAATCTCTCATACACACAATCTCTCTCATACACACATGATTTCACATACATACAGTCTCTCTCACACATATACAACCTCGCGCACACACCATCTCTCACACATGGTTTCTCACACATGCCCTCTCTGATTGTCTCTCCTCCACAAACAATCTCTCTAGGGGCCAGAAAATATGCCGTTGGATATCAAAAATTAGAAAGAAAATGAATCTGGTTCATTCCCTTTCTTAAAAGTCTTTAAAACTCCAGAAAAGAGTATTTAATATTATATACATACAATCAGAAACAAATATCACCATGGGAACCCAGTAGCCTTTCTGATGGGCCTCATTTTTTTTCCCCTGAAGGCAACATTTTCATTCTTGGAATTTTGGTTTGGCTATTAGTAGTGTTTCTTATAAAAACCAACTTTTTTTTTTTTTGGCTGGGCGTGGTGGCTCACGCCTGTAATCCCAGCACTTTGGGAGGCCGAGGCAGGCGAATCACAAGGTCAAGAGATGGAGACCATCCTGGCCAACATGGTGAAACCCCATCTCTACTACAAATACAAAAACTAGCTGGGTGTGGTGGCACATGCCTGTAGTCCCAGCTACTAGGGAGGCTGAGGCAGGAGAATCAGTTGAACCCGGGAGGCAGAGGTTGCAGTGAGCCAAGATCACGCCACTACACTCCAGCCTGGTGACAGAGCAAGACTCCGTCTCAAAAAAATAAAAAAATAAAAATCAACTTTTTTGGATAAAACTTTGGAATTATATACAGCAACCCAGAGAACATCAGCTCTTTACTGCCAACCCCATGAACTAAGGCACATTTTGAAGTTCTCCCTCATAGCGTTTGATTGGCAACTTGATAAGCCAAACAACTATGCACTCTTCAATCAGGCTACAGTGAGCAGAAATTCCTTATATATAAGAGGACTCAGAAGGCACAGAGTATTTATATAGCTGGGCAGGTACAATACAGAGGTTAGCTTTGTTCAGCTTAGGGGACAAGTCTTACAAAATTCCTTTAGAGTATACTGTCTGGTCTTTTGTAGATTCCGGCTTCTTGAGTCTTTGAGAAGTGTATTAATTCAGTTTTTTAGTAGGTATTTATTGAACGCTACTAGGCTTTAGGCCCAGGTCTAGGTCCCTATTCTCTTATTGAACACTACTAGGCGTTTGGCCCAGGTCTAGGTCCCTATTCTCATGAAGCTTCATTTTAATCCAATTCTTGTGTTATTTTCTTGGCAGAAACCAAGAACTTTTACCGAAGAGTAGCCAGAATCCTTGGATCTCCACCTAGGACTGAAGGCAGAACCTTTTTTTTTTTTCTTAATATCATTTACCTTTAATTTAGTGAGTGAGTTTTTCTTTAAGCTGTTATTCTTTTGTTCATAGAGTCTGATTTTTCCTGGAGATCTGGAGAACCACCTCTTTAAATAAATCTAGCATTTTACACAAAAGACATTAAACAGATTACAGCCTAATCTTATGGGAGGAGAGGGCTGTTTTCACTCTGCTGCACAATGTGAAAAATATACACATAAAGCTAGCACTGCCAGTTTCCCATGGGAAATATAAGATTGTTATTACCTAGGCAACTATAACATGTTGGTCTCAAATCATATGTAGTGGTTTTTTTTTTTGTTTGTGTGTGTGTGTGTGTGTGTGTGTGTTTTGGCAGAGTGTCGCTCTTCCACCCAGGCTGCAGTGCAGTAGCATGATCACAGCTTACTGCAACCTCCACCTCCCAGGCTCAGGCGATCCTCCTGCCCTGCCTCAGCTCTCTAAGTAGCTGGGACTGCAGGTGTGTGCCACCATGCCAGGCTAATTTTTGTATCTTTGTAAAGATGGGATTTTGCCATGTTAGCCAGGCTGGTCTCGAACTCCTGCGCTCAGGTGATCCGCCTACCTTGGCCTCCCAAAGTCAAATCATATGGAGTTTTGTTGTGATTTTATTAGTGTGTTTTGTGCTTTCCCAGAAATAAATAAGTGCAAGAAACAGATGCACGTCTAAGGAATGGCCTGTCTAGTGCAAATGTGGCTGGTGCAGTTGCTATGGGAACAAGGACTTTTAATCCTTCACTTTCATGCCTTTATTATTTTTAATGTTCCTCTATTCTTATTTCATTTGTGCATCTTTCCAGAGGGAGAAACGAGCAAATCAGAGAGTTCTGGACTCAATTGGTAATACAATCTTAGAAAAACAAATGCAGTTATTTGTGGAAACTACCCCAAATTACATTTGTTGGTTTGATTTTTGACACACTATAATGTTATTCTAAGCTTCCTATATGCTTTAATTTTTCTCATATGATTTTCATCTGCTTCCTTTCTATTTAGCAGGGCACAGGGAATTATTTTTGAGATGTTTGGAATCTGAACCAAAATTCCAGGAAACTATGGTTCTTGCACAATTGATGTAAATTTCAAGGAAAGGAAACTTGGAGAGGCCTCACTTCCTTTAGTGTTCTTTCAGTTTAAGGAAGCTGTATCAGCTTAAACAACGCTCTATTAATGCTCTCTTGCCTTCCCAGAGAGTCCATTCTGATTGGGAGAAGGAGAAATTTGCTCTTTCTGTTGGAATTAATTTTTGTTTTATTTTTTGAGACAGAGTCTTGCTCTGCCACTCAGGCTGGAGTGCAGTAGTGTAATCTCGGATCACTGCAAACTCCACCTCCTGGGTTCAACCGATTCTCCTGCCTCAGACCCCCGAGTAGCTGGGATTACAGGCGTGTGCCACCACACCAGCTAATTTTTGTGTTTTTAGTAGAGACGGGGTTTCACCATGCTGGCCACGCTGGTCTCAAACTCCTGACCTCAGGTGATCCGCCCGCCTCAGCCTCCCAAAGTGCTGGGATTACAGGTGTGAGCCACTATGCCTGGGTTGGAATTAATTTTTATCCTCTCTGCTCTATTAACGTTCTCTAGTGTGATTTTGTTGCATTCAGATGCACTGCTGAGTTCTCTCCTTACAGTAGGAAGATAGATTAACAGTTGTTTTATTAAAAAAAAAAAGTATTGAGAAGGCTATTTAAACTTATTGCTAGAGAAAAAAGTGGAAATATAGACAATAATTAAGCACTATTTAATATCTGTTAGTAATTTTTAAAATGTCGAATAAAACCTAATGTGAGCAATATTTTAGAGAAATGGTTAAACTCAGGCATTGCTAGTAGCTCTGAAAACTGATAGCATTCTTTTGGCAGTACATACTCAGAACCACAGAGATATCCGTACCCTTTGGCCTACTAACTCCAGTCCTGGGAAAGAATTAAAAAAGGGGTGGGGTGGGGGACAGAGAGATGTTGTCCCAAGGGTACAAAGTTTCAGTTAGACAGGAAGAGTAACTTTTTGAGATCTATTGCACAGCATAGTGACCATAGTTAATAATAATGCATATTTCAAAACTGCTAAAAGGGTAGATTTTAAATGTTCTTACCATAAAAAAAAGATATGTGAGCTGATGGGTAACTTTATTATCTAGATATAATCTTTCCACAATGTACACATATATCGAAACATCACATTGAACCTTGTAAATGTGTACAATTATTATTTAAAATAAAAGTAAAAATTAAAAAACAAAAAGGGGAAAAAGTTGTTTGCATAAAGATGTTCAAGGCAGAATTATAGTGAAAAGCTGAAAGTAGCCTAAATGTCTTCCTGTAAGAAAACACCTAAGTAAACTGTGGTATACCAACACAAATATGTAAAGCCTTAAAATGGTAAAGATTTTATATCAATGTGATAAACATTTAAATATAATGTTAAGTGAAAAAGTGAAGATTGGTAGTAACAGAGTCACTCAGTTATCCTGTACCCCAGGAGCTAGGCAGGTAAAAAGAGTAATTCAGGACTTAGCTTCTCAGCTTAGGAAATAAGTCTCACAGAGGTGAAATTATGTGAACAAAAAGATCAAATTTGGAAGATAAAATTTTAAAATGGCTTTTTGGACAATGTGACTCTGGGGTATGTGTTTCCTTGTAAAATTAATTTTAATGTTGTAATTTAAAAATAAACCATTTAAAAAGATCTATATCTGTTTTTCTTGTAAAATGGGATTGCTGGCACCCAAAGTCTGGTTGATTCAACTTCATAGATGAAAGTTATATTACCTTTTGTTGAATTATTTAGTTCTTGAATGAGTTTGGATCTTTTATTCATGTTGTTCTCAATAATTTAGAATCTTAGAGTTGGAAGGAATCTCAGAGGCAGTTTATAGCAAGCTATCACCCAATGTAGGATCCCTTCTATAACATTTCTGGTAGATGGTCACCCTTCTTCTGCTTGAAGGCCTCCAACTATGGGAAACTCATTACTTCATGATACTGCCTATTCAATTACCAAATAACTAATACTAATTGTTAGAAAGTTTATTGCATCTCCTGACTTGAATCTATATCCTTATCTCCTCTGCCTCTTGGTCCTAATTCATTTCTGAAGTACAAAAGAACGAATTAATTATTATTATTATTATTTTTGGTGACAGTCCTTTCAATTTTTTATTTTTTTATTTTTTATTTTTTAGAGACAGAGTCTAGTTGTGTTGCTCAGGCTAGAGTGCAGTGGTACCATCTCGGCTCACTGCAACCTCCGCCTCCCTAGTTCAAGCGATTCTCCTGCCTCAGCCTCCCGAGTAGCTGAGACTACAGGCGCCCACCACCACGCCCAGCTAATTTTTGTATTTTTAGTCGAGATGGGGTTTCACTGTGTTGGCCAGGCTGGTATTGAACTCCTGACCTCGTGATCCGCCTGCCTCAGCCTCCCAAAGTGCTGGGATTACAGGCGTGAGCCACCATGCCTGGCCTCAAACTTTTTTTAAAAGTGATTTTGTCTTCTCTTATACTTTATTCTTTTTACTGTTATTTATGGATAAATGTTGGGTTTTGCTATTGTTATCTGTACCTACTTTTTTCTTTTAGGCAAAGCACATTTATTATTCACAGATGAGCAGTAAGGTGTACCTACTCCTTTGTTAACAATACCCCAGCTTTTCTTATTGACCAGTCTCCCACTCCCAGTCTGTGATTGGAATGGAGAATATGGCTTTTACTAAGTAAATTAAATTCATTTTACTCTCCCCACCTCCCATGGCCACTGTGATTGGTTCAAGAATAGGCACAAGTCAGGCCAATCAGGGCCAATAAAACTCAATTTGGGGACTTTTGTTTGTATTATAAGAAAAGTATTGTCTACAGGATTGGCCTGTGATGGTATGAGCTTGGAACTGCAGGAGGACAACCATATAGGGCATAAGAATGAAGTCAGCCCAGCAGAATACATGATTGAGAGATGAATATTTTTAGCTAGCTACTCCAAATATTAGAGCTACACCTGTATGCTTTTCTCAGTTATGTTAACCCATAAATCTATCACCATAATGTTGTCCCCAATTTTTTTCCATAAGCCATGTTGAGTTAGCTCTTCATCACTTACTAAAGGAATCAGAATGATATAAACTCTAAACTGGGATACAGGAGAAATGGCTAGTTCTGCCACTCTCAGGCTGCAGAAATTTGTGCAGTTTATTTAAAATTTCTGCTATTGAATTTCATAGTGAGTAAAATGAGCAGGCTGAACCAGACAATTTGAAAAATCTCTCTCTCCTTTAAAATTCTATGATTTCAGCCTGGGGCGGTGGCTCACGCCTGTAATCTCAGCACTTTGGGAGGCCGAGGCGGGCAGATCATGAGGTCAGGAGATCGAGACCATCCTGGCTAGCACAGTGAAACCCTGTCTCTACTAAAAATGCAAAAAAATTAGCCGGGCGTGGTGATGCACGCCTGTAGTCCCAGCTACTCGGGAGGCTGAGGCAGGAGAATGGCGTGAACCCGGGAGGCGGAGCTTGCAGTGAGCGGAGATCGCACCGTGGCACTCCAGGCTGGGCGACAGAGCAAGACTCCATCTCAAAAAAAAAAAAAAAAAAAAAGAAAGAAAAGAAAAAAAAATCTATGATTTCTATCTGACTTTTCTTCTAGATCTAACCTGAGTGCCTTGGCTGCTGTTCTTTTCATTTATTCCAATTAGTCAAGTTGTTCTGATTGGAGATACTAATTCTCAAAAGTGAAAGGATAGAAGGAATTTTTCTTATGCTGTGTCTTAATCATCATAATTAAATTATCTAAGGTTATTTTTGCCAACACCTCCCCAAAGATCTTTAAAATGTTTTGATATACATATAAGTTGTCCTATTATAATTCCAAGGTATCTATTATTTTAACACTCTGCAATGAGAAAAACCCTCTTTACTCAGTGAAAATTAGGTCTATTACATTTTTGCCTCCACATTTTTATTCTGAAAAAATTCACACCTTAAGAAAGGTTGCAATAGTACAGTGAACATTCACAGGGTGTTCACCTGGAATGTCCAGTTGTTAATATTTTTTCTAAATTTGCTGTCCTGTATGTGTTTTCCTGGCTAAGCCTATTACTCTCACTGAGTTGTTTTTAAGTTGAAATAGGGTCTCACTCTGTCACTCAGGCTGGAGTGCAGCAGTGCAATCTCAGCTCACTGCAACCTCTGCCTCCCAGGCTCAAGCAATTCTCATGCCTCAGCTTCTTGAGTACTTGGGACTACAGGCAGGTGCCACCATGCCCAGCTAATTGTTTGTACTTTCGATGGAGATGGAGTCTCACTATGTCGTCCAGGCTGGTCTCCAACTCTTGAGCTCAAGCTATCTGCCTGCCTTAGCCTCCCAAAGTGCTGAAATTTTAGGCGTGAGCCCCCACACCTGACCTTCAATGAGTTTTTAAAAATGGTATATATGAAGAGAATCAAGAAATTCTGGAAGGAATGCTGCACTTCTCCAGGATCTGGAGAAGTAAGGTGGAACACTCTAGCAGTTAACAATTCTAAAACTTGAGCCTTGACTGCCGCTAGATTCCAATCCTGGCTCTTTCTAATCCTCAGTTTTTTTATTTGCAAAATAACGGGTATTATGGCATCTAAGTTTATACTCAAAACATATTAGTTAGCATTAATATTACGTGAATGGAGCTGATAGCATGAGGTATGCTTAGCTTTTTCATTGCATATGGGAAATCTGTTATCTATGCTCTGCAAATGAGCTTGGATCTTGGGTTTCCTCACATGGTAAATAACTTAGTGGTTGACTTAAAAGGGAATGCAAAAAGCTGAAACAGAAATTAAAGAATTCTGTATGTATCTCCAGCTGGGCAAGAAATCAGACCCCAAATAGTATCTGCCAATACGGTACTAGCAGATGTAAGCCTAGATACGGAGAGGCAGATGGGTTTCATCTCACGTTCCAGTTACTGGTAGCAACTGCGTGGCACACTGTATTTTCACAAGAAGGCTTGTGAAAATTTACTGGGAAAGAATGACTGCTATGGAATAGGAGATATGAGTGATGGCACAGTGTCATGTTGCTGTGGCCTGAATGTGTCCTCTAAAATTCGTGAAACTTTTGGCCAATGTGACAGTGTTAAGAGGTAGGGCCTTTAGGAAGTGATTAAGTCATGAGGGCAGAGCTCTTGTGGATGAGATTAGGCTCTTATAAAAGGGCTTGAGGGAGTGGATTTCTTCTCTTCCGCTCTTCCACCATGTGAGGACATAGTGTTCATCCCCCTTTGCCCTTCTTCCTTCTGCCAAATGAGGACACAGTGTTAAAGGTGCTACCTTGGAAGCAGAGACTGCATCCTCACAAGACAACGAATTTGCCAATTCCTTGATCTTGGATTTTTGTTGGTCCATTTTTGCACCTCTATAAAGAAATACCTGAGGCCAGGTAATTTCTAAAGAAAGAGATTTAATTGGTTCTGTGGGCTGTACAGGAAGCATGGCACTGGCATTTGCTCTGGGTGGGGGCCTCATCATCATGGTGGAAGGCAAAGGGGGAGCAGGCACATCAGATGGTGAAAGCAGAGGCAAAAGAGAAAAGGCGGAGGTTCCAGATTCTATTAAGCAACCAGATCTCATGTGAACCGAGTGAGAACTCACTCGTCACCACAGCGATGGTGCTAAGTCATTCATGAGGAATCCACCCCTATGATCCAATCACCTCCCCCCAGGCCCCACCTCCAACATTGGGGATTACATTTCAACATGAGATTCGGAAGGGACAAACATCCAAACAATAGCAGACTTTCTCACCTCAAGAACGGTGAGATATAAATTTCTATTATTTATGAATTACCCAGTCTCAGATATTTTGTTATAGCAGCACGAATGGACTAAGACACATGCATTTGCCAATTCTGGTCTAGGTGTAAAAGACAAAGAAGGCAAGTTTCAATAATACGTGCATACGTCTGTCCTAGCATTTACCACATCATAGCAGCTCCTTTGTTTATGTGCTTCTCTCTCCAGTTAGACTACAGGTTTCTGGATGGGAGATCTACTACTATCCCTGTGTTTTACAAAGTGCCCAGTATGTAGTTGGAACATAATCAATGTGAGAGCTGATTCACCTATAACTAAATTTTAATTAGGTTTGGATCGAAAGTCCTTACCCTGTAAAACTCATCCCATCTCTATGCTTATTTTGAAGACTCCTGCTCTGCTTAATTTCTAATTGAAAATATCTTGGGAAAAGTCTAATATTGTCTTAAGTAAACTAAGTGCAAAAAGATGTTTGCCAAACTTTGATCAATATAGAGAAAGAGCAATATGGTATTAGCCTGTGATTTCTCAGCCCTTTTTCAGACCTCATGAAGGACAGAACTTAGGTAGGGAATGGGGAAACCTGAGGACACTAGAGACATAAACTTTAGGCCATCTGTGAATAGTAATCAGCTCCCGCCTGCTTCTGCAACCCATTAGAAACTGAAAAACAAAATCAAAAGTGAATGATTTCTTGTCTTCTTAAATATTTAAATTATAGACAGTCCTTAATTCTTAATTTCTGAAATTTTGTCAAACTTGGACCTTTCCACATCATTGACACTCCCAAATAAAATGTGTACTATGGTGTTCAGGAGCTGGAGAATAATTATTCTGAGCCATTACAGGAAGCTGGTAAATTGCTCAGTTTTGGCCTCCTTGCCTTCTTTTTCTGAATAGCGACAATGTAACTATTTAATTAAATTTTGTCATAAGCTTTTTTTTTGTGGGGGGCGGGGCACAGGGTTTGGCTCTGTTACCCAGGGTGGTGTGCAGTGGCACGATCTCAGCTTACTGCAACCTCTGCCTCCTGGGCTCAAGCCATCCTCCCGCCACAGCCTCCAGAGAAACTGGGACAACAGACGTCCACTACCACACCTGGCTAATTTTTTGTATTTTTTGTAGAGATGGGGCTTTGCCATGTTGCCCAAGCTGGTCTCAAACTCCTAAGTCCAAGCAATCTGGCCACCTCAGTCTCCCAAAATGCTAGAATTACAGGCATGAACCACTGCGCCCAACCAAATTTCGTCATAAATTTTACAGATATAAAAAGCAATGTGCTATAAAAATGATTCTATTGAAACATATGTAAGAGGTATAGGCTTCATAATCTTAATGACAGTTGAACAAAGGTCAAATCCTTAGGGATGTCTCTAATGGCACAATTTTGGAATGAGCAACACACTGTTTAGCTTTAACTTTCTTATCTGTGTGGTTTGTCAGGTAAGATAATAAACTTAAAGAGTTGATACAAACTGCTAGACATGTGTTTTCCAATTACACTTATAAGATTACCTAAAGGATGTTATAGTTTTTAGCTCTCTGACAATGTACACATTTGACTCTTACATAGATTTATCAAAATCCATTTAATTAAAAACTAGATGACTTCTTATATTTACTTTCCATGATAGTTGCCTTTTTCTCAAATTGTACTTGAGTCATCTTAAGTTTTTCCTCCTTTAATATTTTGCTGTTCCATATCTCTGTCTCTTAATAACTTTATCTATCTAGAACACAGTTAAGAACAAGAAACTAAGCAAAAGGCTTTCTGAATGACTTTTGAACTGCCTTGAGCATTGTAGTTTATCTACTCAGAAAAAAAATGCTTTTTGGGTCCTCACCCAGTCAGTTTATTCATAATCTATTAACAATTCTGACAATCTTGGTGCAAAAGAGACACCTATGCATTGTTTAAGTTCTGTATGCAAGGCACTGTAGGGGACAATTTATATGAAGCGGCACAAAGAACATTAAGAAACGCTTCTTGTTCTCAGGGGCTTAAGCCCAAATAGGACATATAAAGCATGTACACAACTAAGAGTAAAACAATGTAGAATAAAGAAAGTCTCAGAGGGAGTTACAAATGAAGGAGCATATAGCTCAGAAGAGAGGGAGATTACTCAGTTCTCTAACTTCCTTCCATACCTACAATATACAGAAATAGCACATTTAGAAGAGAAGACTGCTATAGGCAGGTATGCTGTCAGCAGCTACTGTTACTGCTGACAAGTTCCATTTACACATCATATCAAGAGAGAACATAACAATACTCGAGAAAGCAGATACCTGAATTTCAAATATCCAGGAGCCCCTTAGTGTAAGGGCAAGCTCTAAAAGATTTTGAAGACACAAATGAATAATATAATAATCAATATAATAATGATGCATAGACATTTAGACTTAAAGTATGTTGGAGGTCATCTAGGGTACACATTTTATTAATGACACTTAGAAATAGTAAATGTCTTGCCTAACATGGTCTGAGGGTGTCATCCTTGACTCCTTTATTTCTCTCTCCCTCACCTTTTCTACCCCTTCCATGTCTTTTCCTCTTCGAATCAATCACTTTGTCTTTTTGCCTCCATTTTTCTCAAATTTATCTTCCCCTTTCCATCTCAGTTTTCACTGCTTTTTATCAGACCTTCAATAACTCTTGCCTGAAATTGTTCCATGGGTTCCTAACTCATTCTTCTCCTTCCATTTCTTTCTTTTTTCTATTTCCATTTCTTATCTTCTTAAATCTATATTCCACTTATCTGGCCAAAGTCATCTGACTGAAATGTAAATCTGATCTCATTGACTGTATACTACAATAGCTGTCCACTGCCTGCAAACTAAACTTCAAACTCTTACCCATCCATTTCCCACTTTCTACCATCAACTACTGATATTATATGTATAATGTAGGGGGACTCAGAACATTGCCCCTTCTTCCTCCTCATTCTCTCTTCAAATTCACTTGACTAATATCTCAAACTTTGGGACTCATCTCAGATGTCTCCTCCAGGAAACCGAGGCTAAGTTAGGAGCTCTTTCACTCTCCAGGATAGATTTTCATTACATCCTATTATATTTTTACCTCATTGTACTTTAATGTATTTGGCCCCATTATTTGAATGTAGACTCTTTGGCAGACCATATTTTATTAATCTTTGTATGCCAAAGCCTATCTTAGGTGCTTGCTATAGACTGAATGTTCGTGTACTCCCAAAATTCAAATGTTGACACCTAATCCCCAGTGTGATGATATTTGGAGGTGGGGACTTTGGGAGGTGATTAGTTCATGGGTGCAGAGTTCTCATAAGTGGGATCTGTGACCTTATAAAAGAGAGACCAGAGAACTCCTTTGCCCCTTCCACCCCATGAGGACACAATGAGAAGATGACTGCCTATGAACCAAGAAGCAGGCCCAACCAGACACTGAATGTGCCAGTCCCTTGATCTTAGACTTCCCAGCCTCCAGAACTATGAGAAATAAATGCCTGTTGTCTATAAGCCATCTAGTCTATTGTATTCGTTATAGCAGCCTGAATGAACTAAGACAGTGCTCAACATTAGGATATATTAGGTGCTCAATAAATGTGTGTCGAATGCATTCATAGCTATCGAAGTAACACTGCCTAAATACTAACAGTCAGACAAGTGTTCTTCCCCTTATACTCCCCATTCCTGAAACTAGCCATGAGTCAGAATTACCAGGGAAGGTTTTAAAAAGCACAGATTTCTGGGCTTCATTCCTGTTCTTTGTATTTTTATGAAGTTTCCCAGGTGATTCTTATGGGTCAGCCAAGCACCTGTGCTCAGGCCAGAGTTTGTAAATCATTGCACAGTGCTTCCTTTCATGACCCTTTAAGAATAATCACATTTGGCTGGGCACAGTGGCTCATGCCTGTAATCCCAGCACATTGGGAGGCTGAGGTGGGTGGATCACCTGAGGTCAGGAGTTCGAGACCAGCCTGGCCAACATGGCAAAACCCTTTCTCTACTAAAAATACAAAAATTAGCTGGGCATGGTGGCACACGCCTATAATCCCAGCTACTCAGGAGGCTGAGGCAGGAGAATTGTTTGAACCCAGGAGATGGAGGCTGCAATGAGCTGAGATTGTGCCACTGTACTCCAGCCTAGGTAACGGAAAGAGACTGTTTAAAAAAAAAAAAATCACATTTAAGAAGTCAAAGCAATGATGTGTAATTGATTTTAGAAAGATCTGCATTAGATTAAATTTGGTTAAATTTGTTTTAAATGTGTTTTAAATATGAGTTAAAGGATAAACTCCCAGCTCTCCAGAAAACTCTGCATTCTATAGTAATTCATTTACTAATGGTTTTGGAGAGCCAGTTTTTTTTATATCACTCAATTATTTATTTTTCTTCCTTTCCTAGCTCCTCTGAAATGGATTTTATTTCTTATATTAGTTTCCTTGGTGTGACCACTTCTCAATATCTTTTGCTCCTTTCTCCATTTATAGTTAAGGGAGCTCTATTGCTTTATTCCTCAAGTCGCTTTTGTAATGAAATGTACCTTTTCAGTCTTTGCTTTCTAAAACTCATGATACTTCATTCAACCCCTCTGTGGGTTGTCTGAGTCTCTGCAATGTACCTAAATATTTCCATTTACAAAAGAAATGTGTCCTGGGTTTCTTCTTTCCATCACATTGAGTTGATCAGTTTCTGTGGCTTGTAAGGGCCCGGCTGAGGAGAGGAGCTGGTGTGGGTGGGAATTTGGCTGACTCCACGGTTTTCCATATGCACCGTGTGCTCCTTGTGCTTGAGCAGGAAGCTGGTCTCCACTGACAGACCTGGGAGCAGGAAAACAGCCACTGTGTAGGTGGTTTTGAAGAAACCTCCCTCTGTTTTTCCTGTACCCAGCCGGTGTAAGTTTTTGAATGGTGGTGCTAAAATGACCTTCAAGTTTTGCCTTTGATTTAATAGGATTTCAGGCTTGTGTTAAAGATTGCCTGTGGTTTTGGACTTGTATTTTAATGCATTTTACAAGACAATTTATCTCCAGTTTCGGTTTTCCATGAGACACATTTTTGTGCAAGTGTTTATTGTTTTTAATTTTGATTATGCAATTTGATTTAAATCCAATGATCTCTCAGTGGAAGTTTATACTACTTTTATTGTGGGGGAGGAAAATGAATTTGTTATAATTTTCATTAGTATTATGATTTATGTGATGTGAAGTTACATTCTAGATGAAAGCGACAAAATACATGTTATTTTCTAGATAATTTCCTAAGGTGTATAGTTTTCAGATCACCAAAAATATTGACGAATTTAACATTTCCATCTTCCACTATTATTATTTTTGCTTTTTTTTGCTAGCTAGCAAAGCATATTTGTTTAGATTCTCCTTGCTCACAGGTGCTTAAAATTTAATTGAAACGATACAGCATTTACAAAAAGAATACATGTTTTGGAGTTGAGAAAATGTCAAAATAAGTTAATGGAACATCTTTATGGTCTTCAAGGATTTATATTCTGAAAGAACATCTTCATTCTGCCTTGTCCCAGAAAATTAGCTGCTTCATGTAAGGACAGGAGGGCAATTTCAGGTAGAAACCCTAGGATTGTTTGTTAACCTGTCGCTGCGTAGTCCTGAACATATAGAATGGCACAGTCTTCAGTAATTATTATTTAAGTTGGTGAAGTGGTTCACTTTGGTTATTTAATGAAATATCCTTTTCCAAGTTTTGCTTAACTTTTCCATATATCTCAAGGAAAATCTGCATTATAATCTTGTGTGCTAACTTAAAATATTAGGTTTCAAGGTTAAAACATTTAAACCTAACATTAGTTAGGTTTAAAAATCCATAAAGGCCTATGACTGTCTCCAAGGTAGTATTTATATAACATAAGGTAGTGTCTTTTAAAGTAGCAGTAGTGGTAGCCATATGTTGTGCTAATGTATCTTCTCAATGCTGAGAGCAATTGACAGTTTTACATATACATGTTTTATATATACATATTAAAAATTATATTTTAAGATTTAAAAAGTCTTGATAGCAGCTGGTTTTTATGTATCACATGTAAAAATGCAGAGTATAGTTTTGGGGTTGTCATTTAAAAAATTATTTCAGATGGAGTCATAGCTCTCACAATTAGAGCTGTTTCATATTTGAGGGTGGTTCATTATGAACTGTTCCTTAGATAATTGGTCTCAGCCGACTTGGTATTTTTAATATGTACTAACAAATATTGAATACACTTTTCTGCTCTATTTAAACCCAGAGTGTGACCATTATCACTTACTGTGATAGGCAATTAAGTGATTGTGTAAGAGATAGCTTTTATAATGTCTAGGAAATATGGTATTTTTGAATATGTTGGGGCTATAGTAGACTGATAGCTAAGTTTAAAGCAGGGGTGGTACTTGGTAAATTCATGAGCTTTAAGTTCAGCAGTGAAGTGTCCAAGCTGTGCAGTCAGATGGGCTTTTAACTTTGATTTTGTCATTTATCATCAGTGTAACCTCAGTCAAGTTTCTAAGTTTGTTTTTCTTGTCTGTAGAATGAGACTAAGGTATCTACCTTATTGTGGTAATTACATGAAAAAATACATAATCTGATTAATTAACATAGTTACATTTACACTTCAAAGTTACAGACTATATTGTAGATTATAAGCTTGATTATAAACTATTAGGGACTTTTAATCAATTAAGTTTATTTGCTTTTTACAAAAACACTGTGATTTTGAAGGTCTTTTTTTCTAAGTAGGTGGCCTAGAAACCTTTTTACCTAGCAGATTTCTGATAAAAAATCTTCATTTTCAAATTGAATGTATAGGACGGTGGAGCTTGAAAAAAACCTTAAGAGCACATGTATTCCACCTGTGCATTTATTGGTAGGAGGCTGAGCCCTGTAAAGTTTAACTGACTTACTCCAAGTTGAAGTACAAAAGGAAGAAAAAGCCATGAATTTGATCATTGCTTTTTATGGGCTAATTATGATAATGGGTATTAGCCCCTTAAGGAAAGCAGAAAAATGGGACAGTCATCTAGACAATAGGGATCTGATACATTTAAAAAATAAACTCTCCAAATATTTAATGATATATATAGATCATAGTTATATGGATCATAGTTTTGTTGTCTTGCTGTAATTATTGTCAGTACCTCTTTCACCCTCAATAGTGTCTCAATTTGGGTAATATATTATGTGCATTTCCTGTTTAACTGTGTTTATATAGGCAAAGAGAGGCAACCATCTGGTGAATTGTGGACTGGGTCGATTCGAAAAGAGACTACTTTTTTTCTTGTTCTAAAACTGAAGTTCAGCTGGAATTACTGAACCATTGCTCAACACTTCTTTCATCTTCTGAATATAGTCTTCTACAAGAGAAGTTATTAATTGATTGGAGGAGATGAAAGGATCTACTAATCTGCTGGAATCATATGCAAAATGGTGAGAGTGTACATGTGAGCATTTTTCTGGGAAGTGTGTCCATGTTTTCTGTCAGATTCACCCTAAAAGACTAAAAACTATTGCTCCCTTTATGTTCTATAAACAAATTCCTGGCCCCTGTTGTGCTCCTTATTATCAAATCTGTAAGAGACAGAAAGAAATTAATTTCAAATAGTCCTTTTACAATTAATATACCTCTATAAATTTAAAACTCTTCAGTGAAAATTATTACAATGAGCCATATGAAATGTTGACAAAATCCCTTGAATGTGAGGTGCATGATAAGAGAGCTCATTTACAAGGAAGGGGGAAGGCAACACCAAACAGCGGGTGTCTGAAATTCCTTTATGCCAGAGTAATAGAATTCTTGCCAGTTTTTGACCTGAGGAAATGAACATTTCATATGGTTTACACTGAATGATCTCACAAGCAAATTTAATTCAACACATTGTATTGAGATCCTACTTTATGAAATCATTGTACAAGGGACTGTTCAAGGAGTATACATCCCTCCGCATTTTAGGAGACTATAGAGAGTTTTAATTCGAGAAATGACTAGATTTGTATTCAGTGTGACTCAGTGGCAGTCTGACTCAGTACTCAAGGAAATCCAGTTCTAGTCAGGGACACAGACATTTAAGTAACTAATATAATGCACAGCAGAATAAAAGTAAGCATTAAGTAACATGCCGTGGGTACACAGAGGAGAAGCAGGGTGGGCTTTGGTGAACAGGCCATGAACAACAGGATCTCCTCTTGTAGAGAGCAGATGAATGGATAGAACAGACTTGAGGAACTTGATTTGCCATGGTTTTTTCTTGTTATTCTTTCTTCCTGCTTTAATCAAATTCTTTCTTTCTGCTTTAATCAAATTCTTTCTTTCTTTTCTTTTTGTTTCCTTTTTTTCTTTGCCCTTCATCCTTTTTTTTTTAAAGTGGGAAGGCAAAAAAAAAGTTTCTTAAAATGACTAACAGAAGAGCACATGCTTTCAGAGTGCAAATCACTGAGCTCTCTGGGATAAAGAGTCTAAATATACACTTAAATCCAAATATAGACAGAAAAGTATCTGCTGGGTTTCCAGGGAGCACACTGACCAGTTGAATGCAGTTTGCTTTATTCTCTGTTTTTTTTTTTAAAGAAAAGTTAAGTTTTAAAAATTGTAACTATCAGAAAAAGACAGTATAATCGCTCAATTTTAAATAACTGCCTAACTAGGGAGCAGAGTCCCAGGAGAGGGCTGGCAGAAATAGCACAGGCTTTTTTTAGCTGCCTGTATTTTAACTTTACGTGGAGAAAAATGAAATCTCTGTAATCAAAGTATGTACAAGTATGTATAGAATTAGAAGGCCTAAATTGTTAAGTGGGTAAAGAATTCCTTCAAAGAACATGTAAAAATTCAAATATAATGATATTTTCTACACACACAGAATTATATATTTTAACCTAGTGATAAAAAGACATGAGCTCTATCAAGAGAAAAAGAAAAGCAGAATATACAGTTGCACCCACAGTTAATAAGAACTGTCTCTGGCAGAAAATAATTCTTATTACTATGTATTTAATTTGTAAACATTGAAGGTCTTTGAAATTTTGATTTTAAAGCTAATTTTCTAGAACAAATAATAGAAGCATACAGATACTGAAGGTCATCTCTCCTAACTTTCCTATTTCATAGTTGAGGACTTGGAAGCCCAGGGAGAGACGAGGTGGCTTGGTCAAGTCTTCTACTCCATTGGTTATTTAGTGCCGTAGCATCTGTGTCACTTATTTTAATGAGTTTTCAAAATTCATGACAACCAAAAATTATAATTAGGTATTTTTATAAGGATATATGAAACTTGACATCAATGATTATTACATTCCAATTTTCTATTTGTTCTAATTGTTCCAAGAAAAGAAGGTTTTATTCTTTTCTATACAGGTTCTCTGGATGTGACTACATACTTGGGAAGGGAAGAAGAAAATGGAAGCAAATATCAAAATCTTAGTTCTCAATGTTTTAACTAACAGTTTAGTTCAGATATAATTCAGAACTGAGTACATACTGTAAAATGCCCTTGTAGAGTGCACAGTTCAATAATTTTTAGTATGTGCACTATATTGTTCAGATATCATTCATTACCTCTTTTTTTTTTTTTTGAGACAAGGTCTCACTTTGTTGTCCAGGCGTAGTACAGTGGTGTGATCACATCTTGCTGCAGCCTCAACCTCCTGGGCTCAAATGATCCTTCCATCTCAGCCTTCTTGGTAGCTAGGACTATAGGTGCATGACACCATGCCCAGCTAATTTTTTGACTTTTTGTAGAGATGGGGGTTTTGCCATGTAGCACAAGCTGGTCTCGAACTCCTGTACTCAAGTGATGCACCTGCCTCACCCTCCCAAAGTGTTGGGATTACAGGTGTGAGCCCCCATGCTTGGCTACTTCTATTTCCAGAATATTTTTATCTCTCTCTCTCAAAACCCCATATCCACCGGGAGTCATTCACCATTTTCCCCCTTTTCCCCAGTCCCTGGCAACCACTATTCTGCTCTGTTTTTATGGATTTGCCTATTTTGAACATTTGATATAGATGGAATTATACAATATGTAGCCTTTTGTGTGTGGCTTTTTTCACTTACAATAATGTTTTCAAGATTTATCCATGTCGTACTATGTATCTGTACTTAATTTATTTTAATGGTCATATAAAAAAGTATTCCAGTATATGGATACACAACAGTTTGTTTGGCCATTCATCAGTTAATGGACATTTGAGTGGTTTTCACTTTTTGCCTATTGTGACTAATACTGCTATAAATAGTCACGTATAAATTTTTATGTCAACATAAGCTTTCTGATTCTCTTGGTGTATCTGCCTAAGGGTAGAGTTGGTGGGTCATATGGTAATGCTATGGTCAACATTTTGAGAAACTACGAGGCTGTTTTGCAAAGTGACTTTACTATTTTACATTCCCACCAGCAATGCATGAGGGTTCCAACTTTTCCATATTTTCCTTTAAAAATTGTTAGTGTTTTTTTTTTATTATTATAGCCATCCTATAGGTATGAAGTGGTAAGTCACTGAGGTTTTGACATACATTTCCCTAATGACTAACGATTTGGAGCCTCTTTTTATGTGCTTATTGATAATTTATATATCTTCTTTGGAGAATATCAATTCAAATCCTTTGCTTATTTTAAAAATTGGGTAATTTTATTTTTAAACTATTGATTTGTAGAAGCACTGGATATAAATCCCTTATCAGATATATAAATATTTTCTCTCATTTGTGGGCTGTCATTTTATATTCTTGATGATGTCCTTTAAGGCACAAAGATTTTGAATTTTGATGTTATAGCTAAGGTACCACTGCCTAATGTAAAGTCATAAAGATTTACTCCAATCTCTTCTTCTAAGAGTTTTATAGTTTTCACTCTTCCATTTAGATATATGATCCATTTAGCCTGAATTTTTGTGTATGGTATGATATAGGGGTTCAAATTCATTCTTTTGCATATGGGTAGAGAGTTGTTCTGGCATTATTTGTTGAAAATATATTCCTCCTCCATTGAACTGTCTTGGCACCTATGTTAAAAAATCAATTAACCATAAATTTAATGATTTATTCCTGGGATCTCCGTTCTTTTCTACTTATCTATATTTCTACCCTTATGCCAGTCCCATATTGTCTTGATTAATGTAGCTTTGTAGTAAGTTTTGATGTCAGAAAATGCAAGTCCTCAAACTTTGTTTTTTCAAATGTTGCTTTGGCTATGTTGGGTCCATTACATTTCCATATAAATTTTAGGATCAGCTTATCAGTTTCTGAAAAAAAAAAAGCCAGGAGTTCTCAATATTTACTGAGGAATAGTTTGTTATAAGACGACCTAGGTACCACGGAGACTACAGAGATGAAATCCAGTCTTTAATCCTAAAAGAATCAACAATCTTGTAATAACACATACATGTCAACCATCAGTTTATTGCCTCTCAGCTCCAGATTCACTCCACAATATATGCCCTTTGATAATAGGCAGAATTCTTTTAAGTGTCTCCTCCTTACAGTGAGCATAATGCTAAGTTTTCTTAGTAGAGGCTGTTGGAAAGATGTCTCCTGCTGTTTCTGGCTGCTCATGGCAAGTTGGTGGAGTGGGTTTGAAGACATTTGGTGGAACTCTGTTTTGGCCACATTCCTAGAATATGCAGTCACTAGGTAACCTTGTAGTTTCAGCCTATCCTGGCAATAAGCTTCCCATGGACCCCTTGGCATGGAAACTGGTGTCCCAAAGTCTTCCTGAACACATGAATGCCCCAATTCCCTGTGCAAGCCTGCATGTGGATTGTCAACAGCCTGAGAGTTTTCCCCTGAGACATTACTCTTTATTTGGGCTCTGTGGCTTGCCTGCTCCCTGGATTCCCACCACCTGTGTATAACCATGCATCTGGCTTCTGATCTGCTGAGCTCTGGCTGCACTCTGGAGGGATGCTTCCTGCTCTCCTAGTGACCCCAGACCAGCTCGGGCTAATGCAAACCAGTGAACTTTTCTGTTTCAGTTATCAGGCTAAACTATACCTTCTCCAATGAGGTCTGAACCCCAGGTCTGGGGAGGGGGCCCCCTTACAACTTTGTTCTTCCTTGATACTCTTATTCAGCCCTAGGGTTCCTTATAGTTTTCCTTTACTGTCCTTTTTTCTGTATATTCATTTATCAGAGTTTAATAATTCTTTATATTATACTTCTTCTATGTAACCCACTGTGTGATTGGATCCACACTAATACAACAAATAACATTACAGTTCGGAATTAGTAGGTTATATCTTAAGAGATCTGCCAGTGAGATAAGGATTTGGTGCTTACAGTCTGTTGATGGAATCAGGAAAGAATTAATGAGGGAGTGCAATTTAAGATGAGCCTTGAGGGATGGATAAAGATTTCCTTTGAACTTGCCATTAGGGAGCTTATCGTTTTAAGATGATTGCCCAGATCTCCACTTCAAGGGTAAAGACATTTACAAACTGAATTATACTATTTGTCCCAAACAGCTCTCCTTTACTCCTAACTGACAAGCTTACCCTGGATTTTGTTAATGGTCTGGGTGGAGTTGCTAAACAAGGATTTAGAGATGAGCAGAAGAGATACCTGAACCTAAGTGGGTCCCTGACCCCCAGACAAGAAATATTTAAATGACATAATCTCCTCAGAATTACTTAATTAAATGTCTGAAAGAAAGGCTTTGATGGACTGTTTAGTTTAGTTAGAAATGAACACCTACAGCCATATGTACCAATTAATTTCCTCTCCAAATGTTTGCATACTGTTGGGTAGATGTGGCCTACGTTTTGGAAGAATTTTTTTCCTTCGAAGTAGTCATTACACTGTTTTATTTCCTATATGAACACCGAGTACACATTACTTTTCATTTCTTTTTGCTTGCCAAGCCTTTTAATTTTCTTTCATCTCTTTACAAATATCGAATAAAAAATTACGATTTGCAGGGCTATTCAAAGCATAGTTCCTGGACCAACAGAATCAGCATCATTTGCGAGCTTATTAGAAAAGCAAATTTTGGGGCTCACCTCAGACTTAATGAATCAGAATATCTGAGGGGTGGGGCCCTGAATGTGTGTTTTAACCAGTTTTCTAGGTGATTTTATGCACACTAAAGTTTGAGAAGCGCCAGTTAGGATTTTACAAATTGCATTTCATTTGAGACACATTCTAGAATTTAAAAAATATCTGGGATCTTAAAAGCCACTTCCAGTTGGAAGTGTGTATCTCTAGCATCCCTGATAGGTTGGCATCTAAATGCTGCTTGACATTTTTTACAGACGTGAGTTCACCACCTCACAAATCAATCTGTTATATTTGGGAACAATTCAAATTATTGAAAAATCTCAAGGCCAGGCACAGTGGCTCTTGCTTGTAATCCCAGCACTTTGGGAAGCTGAGGTGGGAGGATCCCTTGAGCACCGGAGTTCAAGACCAGCCTGGGCAACACAGCAAGACTCCATCTCTATAAAAAATAAAAATAAAAATAAATAAATAAATTAGCTGGGCATGGTGGTGTGTACCTGTGGACCCAGTTATTAAGGAAGTTGAGGTGGGAAGGCTGCTTGAGCTCAGGAGGTTGAGGCTGCTGCGGACCATGATCATGCCACTGCACTCCAGCCTGGGCAAGAGAGCAAGAATCTGTCTGAAAAAAACCAAAACAAAACAAAAAAAAAGAAGAAGGAAGAAAAATCTTATTTATTATACATTTAATCCAAATTGAGTTGATTGCTGCTTTCGATCCTTGCTCCCAATCCTCCTCATGAGGAGCATGAAATAAATCTAGTTTCTTTCTTTTTTTTTTTGGAGACAGTCTCCCTTTGTTACCCAAGCTGGAGGTCAATGGCACAATCTTGGCTCACTGCAACCTCCGCCTCCTGGGTTCAAGCGATTCTCCTGCCTCAGGGATTACAAGTGCCCGCCACTACACCCTGCTTGTATTTTTAGTAGAGACGGGGTTTCACCATGTTGGCCAGGCTGGTCTTGAACTTCTGACCTCAGGTGTTCCACCTGCCTTGGCCTCCCAAA
This sequence comes from Homo sapiens, assembly GCF_000001405.40. Lineage (NCBI taxonomy): Eukaryota > Metazoa > Chordata > Mammalia > Primates > Hominidae > Homo > Homo sapiens. The sequence goes on along the minus strand of NC_000004.12, from coordinate 112,121,901 downwards.
GTGCTGGGATTACAGGCGTGAGCCACCGCACCTGGCCTAAATCCAGTTTCTTTTATACAGTCCAGACATTTAGATATTTGAGACAGCTGTCTGCTCTCTCCTAAGAATTTTCTTCTCAAGAGAGAATATCCTTAGTCCCTTTACTTTCCCCACCTAATAATGCCTTTTGGATTCTTCATTCAGAATGTATTTATATGTCAATATTCTGCCTAAAAACATCACATCCAGGCTCAGCATGGTTGGAGCTCATGTCTGTAAACTTAGAACTTTGAGAGACTGAAGTGGGAGGATGGCTTGAGCCCAGGAGTTCAAGACTGGTCTGAGTAACATAGCAAGACCCTGTCTTTACAAAAAAAAAGAAAAAGAAAAACATCACCCCCAGGAACAAATATAAACTTTTCCAAGATGTTTATCCAATTAAGGCTATTAAAGATTGTTCTGCCAGATGTAGAAATTAACTGAATCCTCTCCTGGACTTTAGAAAGTTGAATTCCAAGCCTGATTTTGGACAGAACACTCAATTTCTGTGGATTTAATTAAAACTGGAATTACTATGTGGCACTTAAACCTGGGGAATTGCTAATGTTTAAGGAGCAGATATTGCCAATAGAGCTTTTGAAAAGAACTGAAATGGAATGGTCACAAAAGCCAGGAGAATCAGTAGAAAGTCATGTTGCAGCTATTTGATTCTTTCTCTTAATAGGTATGTGCTAAGACCTCAGTCTGGACAAGTCCCAGGAGCCTGGGTTGGGCTTTAAGACAGGGTGTTCTTTGCCCAGGGTGCCATAGTTCTCCATAAGGAATCAGGGGTAATTGACAGATACAATGTTCTGCTGGTGGGCAAGGTTGGAGTAAAGATAAACACTCCAAAACTGGGTCGAGCAGGCCTGCATGAAAACAGATTGTTGATGAAGAAAGGACAGATGACTGTGGATCGATAGCAGCATGTTCTCATCCATGTCCTTCCATGCTTGCTTCCACAGATATGCTGGAGGACTTTAAAGATCAGAAGACAAGTGACATGCCTGTAATCTCAGCACTTTGGGAGGCCAAGGCAGGTGGATCACTTGAGGTCAGGAGTTTGAGAGCAGCCTGGCCAACACAGTGAAACCCTGTCTCTACTAAAAATACAAAAATTGGTAGGGACTGATTGTGCATGCCTGTAACCCCAGCTACTCAGGAGGCTGAGGTGGGAGAATTGCTTGAATCTGAGAGGTGGAGGTTGAAGTGAGCCTAGATTGCACCACTGCACTCCAGCCTGGGTGACAGAGCAAGACTCCATCACCTCACCCCACCTGCCAAAAAAAAAAAAAAAAAAAACAAAACAAAAAGAAAGAAGATGCGTGAACAGTTGAAGGCCAAGAGCACAAAATTACAAAGTTTTGACACTGTCAAATGACAGAAGAGTTAACAACAACCAAAAAAACAAGGGTAGAAAGATTATTGAACCCAATAGAATGCTTTTGTTGCAGTATAAAATGGAATTTAAACTGGCTAAACAAAAGAGATTTATTTGTTTGCGAATTAAATAGTGAAGATGTAGAACCATCTTCAAGAGTGGCCTCATCAATCTTTCTCTGGGATTCTGTGGGCCTTGCCATCCCCCATGTGTTATGTTTATCCTCAGGCTAGGCCAGGGGGTCATTTCCTGGGGAAGAGAACATGTAGTTCCTGAAGGGTTGATTGAAAGGCTTGTGGTTTGCCTTGATTAGCTTACTTCTGGACCAATCACTGTAGCTAGGGGGAGTGACTTGCACTGTAGAAGGAGATAGTATAATTGTTTTTTAATGCCTTATGATATGTTTGGCTGTGTCCCCACCCAAATCTCATCTTGAATTGCAACTCCCACAATTCCCACATGTCACAGGAGGAACCCGGTGGGAGGTGATTGAATTATGGGGGCAGGTCTTTCCTGCACTGTTCTCATGGTAGTGAATGAGTCTCACAAGGTCTGATGGTTTTAAAAATGGGAGTTTCCTTACACAAGCTCTCTTTTTTGCCTGCCGCCATCCATGTAAGACGTGACTTGCTCCTCCTTGCCTTCTGCTATGATTGTGAGGCTTCCCCAGCCATGTGGAACTGTATGTCCATTACATGTCTTTTTTGTAAATTGCCCAGTCTCAGGTATGTCTTTATCAGCAGCATAAAAATGGACTAATACACCTCCCAAAACCCATGGCTGCTAAATAGTGGGGGAAGAGTGAGTCATCACTTGAGTAGACTGCAACTCCAGGCCTACATAATCTTAATGCCTACTGATCTCTTGTTTCTTCCAGAAAAAGCTCCAGGGAGGGCTTTGGAGGGATTGGTCCATGTGCTCTTTCTTGAACCAATATTAGGTTTAAGGGGGATAGGCCAGACTTGTGTGTTAGCTGCCGGAGGTGAATGGGAACGGTCAGCACCACACAAACAACATGGAACGAACTCCTTATAGTCACCACAGTCCCTTCAGTGGGTTTCCTGGATTAGTGATAGTGATACCACAGTTATAAAATAGTTTCCATTTTCTGCTCCAGAGAATGATTTTATTTTCATTTTCATTCTTTGTAGAGCTTCTTATTTATGTGTTTTTATAATCTGTTGACTTGGTTTTTTAAAAACTAATTTTCCTTTCATTTTCATGTAAAGGATCAGTGATATCTTTCTTGGTAATCTGCAAATTCCTCCAAAGCAGGTGTCCTCTTCTTTTCTCTCTTCTCTCTTCTCTCTTTCCTCCTCTCCTCTCCTCTCCTCTCCCCTCCCCTCCCCTCCCCTCTCTTCTCTCCCCTCCCCTCTCCTCCCCTCTCCTCCCCTCCTCTCCTCTACCCTCCCCTCCCCTCTCCCCTCTCCTCTCCCCTCTCCTCCCCTCTTCCCTCCCCTCTCCTCTCCCGTCCCCTCCCCTCCTCTCCTGTTTCCTTCTCCCTTCCCTTCCCTTTCCTCTTCCCTTCCCTTCCCTTTCCTTTTCCCTTCCCCCTTCCCCCATCCCTTCCCTTCCTTCTTCTTTTGTTTATCTTTAAGACTTTTACTACCACTTCAATCATGGATTTTTAGTAGTATGCTAGAGCTGGTTCTTTCTGGCTCTCTAGGGTCAAGAGCTAAATGTTCAGAAACTTTTTGAGTTGGTTGTTAAACCATTAGTGCCTTAAAATTGTCCCTGGGGGAGTATTTATACCATGGAAATTGAAAATGCTACAAATCAGGACTCTTCTTCCTCAGCCAGTTAGCTGTAAACCACTAATCTCATGTCAAAATATATTATAATAAAAGGCTTTTCCTGTGTTATAATTCATCCTCTAGGAAGTAAATTGTAATTCCAGTTTCCAAATTCTGTCTGTATTGTGTTTAAAGATTTAAAAGAATAAAATTATTAGGAGATTAAGTATAATTTTTCACATAATATTGAGCCCATTATATTTTTTTCTGATTTCAAAACCTGAGAGTCTTAAAAAAATAAAAAGACAAGCCACAAATTGGAAGAACATATTTGCAAGTACTATATCTGGTAAACTATTTGCATCCAGACTACATAAGGGATATTTATAACTCAATAACTAGAAGATAAACTATCCAACTAAAAAATAGGGAAAAGAGCTGGGTGTGGTAGCTCATGCCTGTAATCCCAGCACTTTGGGAGGCTAAGGTGGGAGAATTGCTGGGGCCCAGGAGTTTGAGATCAGCCTGGGTAACAGAGCAAGACCTCATGTCTCTTAAAAAAAAAAACAAAAAACAAAACAAAATGAAACAAATATATATGTGTGTGTGTGTGTGTGTGTGTATGTGTATATATATGTGTGTGTATATATATATGTATGTATATATATAGAGAGAGAGGCAAAAGATACGTATAGACTTTTTTTTTGGAACAGAGTCTTACTCTGTTGCCCAGGCTGGAGTGCAGTGGCACAATCTCAGCTCACAGCAACCTCTGCCTCCTGGGTTCAAGCGATTCTCCTGCCTCAGCCTCTGGAGTAGCTGGGACTACAGGCATGTGCCACCACACCTGGCTAATTTTTGTATTTTTTAGTAGAGATGAGGTTTCACCATGTTAGCCAGGCTGATCTGGAATTCCTGAGCTCAGGTGATCCACCCACCTTGGCCTCCCAAAGTGCTGGGATTACAGGCGTGGACCATGACACCCAATCTGAATAAACATTTAACAAAGAAAATACAAAATGGCTAATAATCTCAAGAAGAAATGCTTAACACCATTAATCATTAGGGAAATGCAAAATAAAACTACATGCTATTATTACATACCTACTAAAATGGCTATAATAAAAAGACTGATAATATCAAGTTTTTGCTAAGATGTGTGTAGAAATTGGAAATTTCATACGTTGCTGGTTGGGAATGCAAAAATAGTGCAAGCACTATGGAAAACAGTTTGGCAGTTCCTCAAAAAGGTAAATATAGAATCTTTAATCCAGAAATTCCACTCCTAGATATATATCCGAGAGAACTGGAAACATGTACCCACACAAAATTTGCACATGAATGTTCATTATGTGTAATAGCCAGATGGAAACAATCCAGATGTTCATAAACTAATGAGTGGATAAATAAAATGTGAGATATTATCTACACAGTGGAATACTATTCAGCAATAAAAAAATGGCTATTGATACATGCTACAACATGGATGAACCCTAAAACATTATGTTAAGTGAAAGAAGCCAGACATAGAAGACTATCTTGTATAATTTCATTTACAAGAAACCTTAAGAAAACGGCAAACTTATAGTGACAAAAAAAAAAAATCAATTTTTGCCTGGACCTGAGAGTAAGAATGTAAGTGATTGCAAATAGCCACCAGGGACTTTTTTGGAGTGATGAAAATATTTTTAAGTGAATAGTGGTTGCTACACAACTCCATAAATTTACAAGAAATCATTGTATACTTACGTTGAACAAATTTCAAGATATGTAAATTATGCCATTTCTTACCCTGCCACCACCTAGTCGCGTGGAAGTTGAGGCCCAGGTGCATTTAAGATTCAGCCTCACAGGTAAGCCACAGCCATGGCCGAGGAAGGCATTACTGCTGGAGGTATAATGGAAGTTAATACTGCTTTACAAGAAGTGCTGAAGACCGCCCTCGTCCATGATGGCCCAGCATGTGGAATTCTTGAAGCTGCCAAAGCCTTAGACAAGTGCCAAGCCCATCTTTGTGTGCTTGCATCCAACTGTGATGAGCCTGTGTATGTCAAGTTGGTGGAGGCCTTTTGCGCTGAACACCGAACCAACCGACTTAAGGTTGATGACAAGAAACTAGAGCAATAAGCAGGCCTCTGCGAAACTGACAGAGAGGGGAAAGTGGTTGTAAAGTGGTTGGTGGCAGTTGTGTAGAAGTTAAGGACGCTGGCAAGGAGTGTCAGGCCAAGGATGTCATCAAAGAGTACTTCAAATGCAAGAAATGAACACATAAAACTTTGGTGCATACCAACATGCACACGCACACACACACACAAATTATGGCTCTTTAATAAGGCTGTTTCAAACAGCGTGAAAGTCACAAATTCACTTATGTATTTCTCATTAATAAGTAAAAGTAATAAGCATTCAGGGGTTTAACCTTTTCAGCTTCTTTCATCTGCACTCTTCAAACTTCGATGAGTGGGTCAGAAACATTGAATATGCATACTTTTCTAAGGAACAAGATATTTAATCTTTTCCTCAGTTTTAGAATCTAACCTACTGAATGAAAAGATTTTAGAGTTATGTTACAATTTGATGACTGCTTATGTGGAAATTAACGATCACAAAGAAAATTGGGAGACATTACCAGTAATATGCTTGCCAAAGTGGAAAAAGTTTTAATGATATAAAAACATAACTAAATAAAAACACATGGAAATGCATGCACACACACACAAAGTAAGAAATTTATTATCAAGGATGACTTTGGATTTTTAAAATATAATCTTATTCTACGTACTTTATCTAGGTAGATTGTTATTTACCTTTTGGCATTATTTTCAACTGTGGCACATTATAATTTTCTCTGGGCACTGCTTTTATTATTTGATTGTTCTGATAATCAGGAAGTCATTCTTCATGCAATTTGAATTAACGCCTCTCTCCTTACAATCTACCTTGTGACTAAAAATGGGGAAAGATTTGGCTGTGTTCTGAAAATGTGCTGTGGCTGACCCGGCAGCCATAATTTCAAAGTTTATTCTGGCTCTTCAACTCTGTACTGGGAGGCCTTGAGATGGGTTTGAAGAAGGTTGCAGTGACTTCAATCTTTCTGTGTAAGAAAATAGGACTTTTTAAGGGGCCCCAGGTGTGGTGGCTCATGCCTGTAATCCCAGCCTTTGGGAGGCCAAGGTAAACAGATCATTTGAGGCCAGGTGTTCGAGACTAGCCTGGCCAACATGGTGAAACTCCATCTCTACTAAAAATACAAAAATTAGCTGGGCATGGTAGCAGGTGCCTGTAGTCCCAGGTACTCAGGAGGCTGAGGCAAGAGAATTGCTTGAACCTGGGAGGCAGAGGTTGCAGTGAGCCAAGATCATGCCACTGCACTCCAGCCTGGGTGACAGAGCCAGACTCCATCTCAAAAAAAAGAAAAAAGAAAGAAAGAAAAAGAAAATATGACTTTTTTATTCTATGAGAGATGGAGCCCAGGAGGCAGAACAGCTAGACACCTGAACAGCAGGGCAGGAGTTTGTCGGCCAGGTTACAGAAATGATTACAAGACTTTGTAGAAACAGCAAATTAAAATGTTATTTTATAGATATTTCTGTTTCTCTGAAGTAAATTCTCTCCACCGTCCCCAAACTTCAGCAAAGTCAGCTTCTCTGGAAAGCTTGTGTAAAAGGATGTGCATCAGTCTTTCCCATTGTGGTTAAGAGGTAGATGGAGAATGCAAGAACAGGAGATGAGCTCCTTGTGTGAATCTATTCAGGCTGACGAGAGTTAGCAAATGCTAAATGGTCATTAGTAGAAGCAGAGCCAAAAGTAATCACAGAGACTTAGGCTTCCTGATACTTCTTAGAAATCTGGGACAGAGTTAGACTGCCTGAATATATGGGTTTAAAAGAAAGCATCAAAATGTTCTGTTTGTATTAATATATACTGATTTTTTTTTGGAATTCAATGAAAGGCTTGAATATACTTCTTCCTTAGGCTATGCTAATACTATAAACCTGACACAAGAAAAACTTTTCTTTTTTTTTTGAGATAGGGTCTTGCTCTGTTGCCCAGGCTGGAGTATAGTGGTGCAATCACAGCCCACTGCAGCCTAAACTCTAGGGCTCAAGAGATCCTCCCACCTCAGCCTACCAACTAGCTGAGACCACAGGTGCACACCACCATGCCTGGCTAATTTTTTTGTGTTTTGTAGACATGGGGGTCTCCCTATGTTGCCCAGGCTGATCTTGAACTGCTGGGCTAAAAGGATCCTCCTGCCTTAGCCTCCTAAAGTGTTGGGACTACAGGTGTGAGCCCCCATGCAAGGCCCAAGAAGAGCTTTTGAAGAAGAGAATCGGCATATGTATGTGTGTTTAAAACTACCCTCTGGTGATATTATTCTTAATCTTACAGCAATAAGATTGTATTGATGAAGTCAGATTCAAGTTATGCTTTTAGGATATCTGCGGTATAATTTATAAGTTACTTTAACTTCTATCTATTCCCAGACCTGCTCTCCAAGGTTTATCACCCCCACTCTGCTAGCTAATTTTCCTGAAATTCTAGATTTCTAAATAATGTCCTCATATTGCAACTTCTCAATTTGTCATTTGGGACTTAGTTTTTTTCCCCTGTATTAGTGTGTGTTTAATTTGGGGAAATGCAACCATTCTAGTAATTCAGTACAGGGAATTACCAATTCAGTGCAGTGATTACTAAATTGTTGGGAGTAGGGGATGGGGCAGGGAAAAACTGAGTGGGAGGCAAAGGCTGTTGCAGGACTATTGGGTTCAGTGGCATACCATGTAGAGTAGGGTTGATACAGAGGTCAGGTGGCTGCTGTTGTCACCTCTGCTAATGCCCCACATCCATGAAGACACATTAGGATGTGAAGTCTGCCTACTGCAAACATTCTTCTTCTTCTTCTTCTTTTTTTTTTTTAAAGACTGCATCTTGCTCTGCCACCCAGAATGGAGTGCAACCTCCACCTCCTGGGTTCAAGCGATTCTCCTGCTTCAGCCTCCTGAGTAGATGGGATTACAGGCACCTACCACCATGACTGGCTAATTTTGTATTTTTAGTAGTAGAGACGGGGTTTCATCAAGTTAGACAAGCTGGTCTCAAACTCCTGAGCTCAGGTGATCCATCTGCCTCAGCCTCTCAAAGTGCTGGGATTACAGGCGTGAGCCACTGTGCCTGGCCTACTGCAAACATTCTTATCTGTCTAATCTTGTTTACCAGCTGCCTCAGTCACAAGAAAATGGCCTTTGCCTCACTTCTGCCTTCCAAATCTCAAATGAGTGCATCTTATGAGAGAACTTAAATTGTGTCCAGAACTGTAGCTGCAGGACCTTTTGGGAAATGTGGTCATTTTTAGCTTCCCAGCCTTTGTAATTAAGGGGGTATGTGGAAAGAGTGCGAATGTATGTTGAAGGCCAAACAATAATACCTAGAAAACTCCTGTGTTCCATCAGTTTCCTTCCCCTATCCCCTGATGTAGTTACATTAGCATTTTTGGCTAAACCAATACTCAGTGTTTACATTATCATGACTGTGCAAATGTTACGCAATGTTTAGCCATGTTGTGCACTACACCACACCTCTTTCTCATATAATACTTTTCCCTGCAGTTAATAATTCTCCCTTTTCATTTGCCAAGTTTGCTAAGATCTTCTTGCTGATTTTCCAGATCTTATGATATCTCTGTCACACGCTTCTCAAGAATCCTTTCAATGTACTTAAATATGAATTGGGGATGGAGGGGCAAATGTGACAGAGTCGGTGTGTAAGTCTGGCTGCTATTGTTCTGAATGTAGAGTAGAAAAAGCAGCTGAAAGTCTTAGTTTCAGCATCCAGATTTTCACTTAATCCCCCACCCCCTATTTTCAGTCTTCCATCTGCCACACTATGTTTGGTTTCAGGAGTTCAGGGTTTCTCTGAGTGAATTTCTGGTCCTTGATGGGTGAGGTGAAGTGGGAAAGGGGCCTAGACTTCCAGCTGCTTCATAAACAAACAGACTGTACAGTCTTTCAACTAGGCCCTGATTTCAGCTTGAGCCTCACCCCTACTTCCCATAGGAACTCTGCTGTTCTAGCCCCAAGCCTCCAGATAACACATTGGCTAGCTTTACTAGTTTCTCCCTCTGTGGACCCTGAGGTTACACTGCTAAATTAATTACTTCTGCTCCATCTTCTTTTCCACTAAATTTGTTGAGATATTTCTCACCTGCTATTGTCCATTTATCTTTTTTTCATGTACTTTACCGCCTTTTAACCCTTCTCCTTTTTTCTCCATTTTTGTGGGATTTGTGAAAACAGAAGAAATAGATGTTCGATCTGGTTTGGCTGTGTCCCCACCAAATCTCACCTTGAATTGTAACAATCCCCACATGTCATGGGAGGGACCTGGTGGGATGTAATTGAATCATGGGGGTGGTTTCCCCTGTGCTGTTCTCGTGATAGTGAGTGAGTTCTCACGAGATTTGATGGTTTTATAAGTGTCTGGCGTTTCCCCTGCCGGCACTCATTCTGCTGCCACCCTCTGAAGACGTGCCTTCCGCCATGATTGTAGGTTTCCTGAGGCCTCCCCAGCCATGCAGAACTGTGAGTCAGTTAAACCTCTTTTCTTTATAAATTACCCAGATTCAGGAAGTTATTTATAGCAGCATGAGAACAGGCTAATACAATGTTCAATTAACTGTGCTAACTAGAATTGTCTGTGCCTTTCTCACCACAACCTGTATTTTCTCCATAAGGCTTTTTTGATTTTCCTTTGGTGATTACGACATTTTAGAAATGTTTTACTGCATTTTTATGTATAAAGAAATTGATGCTCAGAAAGGTTAAGTAATGTATTCAAGATCAAATAGTTAGAAAGTAGCAGAGTCAGAACTGAAAATTTGGTCTTATGAATTTCCAGGGTAGCATTAGGACCTGGAAGAGTGACTGGTATTGTAGACACACTGTAAATATCTATTGAATGAATAAATAATTTTCATAGATTCTCATGCAGTCTTTGTGTGAACTACCCCATCATGTGCACTGGTAATATTCTGTATCTTGATCTGGCTTCCTATTTTACAGGTGTGTTCAATTTGTGAACATTCTATTCTGGAAGTTTTTTTTTGTTTTTTTGTTTTTTTTTAAATCACATGAGAGGGCAGGACCTGGAAGATCAGGAAGGGCCAGGACTTGGAAATGGTCACAGGGAAGGTACTGAATGGATGACCCTTCAGGAAATGCTGTGGGAAAATCTGGCCTGCAATCAGATCATGGTATCCAGGAGGAATTGCCACAGAAAAAAAAAAAAAACAAACAACAAAAAGCCCACAAAAACAGTTCAGTCCAGTATGGAAACGCTGTGGGAAAATCTGGCCTGCAATGATATTATGGTATCCAGAATGAATTGCCATAGGAAAACACAAAAACAAACAAACCTCAAAACAGTCCAGTACAATAGAGTGAATGCATCTGGGAGACTGAAGAAGTACCGAGTACAGTCAAGCAGGTGGAGTATTGGAAAAGAATATTAAAAGCTAAAATTAAAGTGGATAAAAAGCATACTGTAGATTTTTAGTAGATATTAGGGCCTATATTCTGAAAGGGAAGATAGGAATCAAGAACCAAAGTGTTGACAGGTTTTCAAGAATAAATTTATGATTTATTTCTTAAATTATCTCCAGTTTTCTCATATCCTTATAAAACTGTGGTGATAAAACTAGCTTGGGTGCACTACAGGTTTGACATGTTTTAGTTGGCACATTATAGTTTATAAAAGAAATGACATGAGTGTAAAAACAAATGTGAGGCACTAAGTAAAAGAGTGCTAAGAGAAAGTACTGTGCTTATTTTTGTATAATATTTTATTTTTAAAACATTTTAATTTTTTAAAATATAAATTACTCATGATTCTTTCACTTTTTTGAATTTATAAAAATGTTTTTATGATGTAAAGTTACTGTCAATATCCAGTTTGACTGCAAACATTAGTTTACAACTTATAGCTGCTGCATTATTATTTAAATATTTTTTGGTAGTATGATAAACAGAAAATCAATCAAATTGTACTTGCAAAACTGAATGAATTTTCACAAACTGGACACTTCTGTGTCATGAAATCCAGACCAAGACACAGAATATTATCAGCATTGCAGAAGCCCTCCTGAGCACTGAAGCCACTAACCAACCCTCCCACCTTCCCCAACAAGAGTAACTGTCTTGACTTCTAAACATTGTACATCAGTTTTACCTGTTTTTATATTTTATATTAAGAAAATCATACATTATATACTGTTTTTGTGTTTGGCTTCTTTTCGCTCATCATTGTTTATGAGAGTTATCCATGTCATTAGGCATAGTAGATCATTTATTCTCATTTTTGTATATTATTCCACATTGAGAATATTTTATACTTTATTCTACTGTTGATGGACTATAAACGTACCAATTATTTTAAAGAAAAAAATTAATATAAAGAATTGGCTAAATAGGTGTTGGAGGACTGAAAAGGGAAAAGGAAACACTAAGATAATACAAAGACAATAACTGCAGGAAGCACCTGTAAGGCTTGTGGACAAAGGGGAAAAGATCATTAGAACCTAGAAGTTTAGAGGAGAAGTTCTGTGGAGATGGAATCAAGATCTCTGAAGAGGGGTTGTGGCTCAGGGGGTGCTGATGCCTTGGGACCTTGTAAAGGGGGTCCCTGAGGATCCCAGATGGTACAGATTCCTCTGAGTGGGATGAGGAGACTGGCTGTGAGAGTGTGGGAAAAACTGAACACCACAACCAATTGCCAATGCCAGAGTGAAGAACCATTGTTGTAATGATGCTGACAGAAACAGAAAGCAAAACAGGAAGGAATCTAGTTCCTTCTCCCTCTGCAACCCTTCCAGTCTCTCTTTAGCACCTCCCTTGGTAGAACCTAACATAGATTTGTCTGGCAAAGTAGAAATATGGTTGCAGAATTCCAGCCTCAACCTTACAAAGCAGAGTACAGAATGACAGTTTTGGAGCTGAGAAACAGTAACTAGAAAACCAGCATATGTAGTTTCCAGGTATTAGCTCTTACCAATTGTCTTAGTTCCTTTGGGCTGCTATAACAGAATACGTTGGACTGTGTAATTTATAAACAATAGAAAAGTATGACTCACAGTTCTGGAGGCTAGAAAGTCTAAGATCAAGGTGCCGGCAGATTTGGTGTCTGGAGAGGGCCTGTTTCTCATAGATGGTGCTTTCTTTGTGTCCTCACATGGAGATTTGTCCATTTTTCTACTGGGGTGTCTGATTTTTTTCTTACTAATTTGTAGGAGTTCCCTATATATGAGAGTCTTAGGAATTCCCAGTCTGTAGACAAGTTTTCTTGCTCAGCAGCATTGCCAAAGAAAATAGCAGGAAGATGGACAGCTGGGAAATGCAACCTAGTTGCGCATTGGGTCAGGCACAGAAAACCTTCTTTTGACATTTCTATTATTTATTCAAGGATAAAATCTTTGTTTGAATAGGTTATAATAAAAGGAACCATATTTCAGATTGACCTGTAGACAGGTTTGTGTGAAAATGTCATAAGGCTAACCATATGAAAGAAATCTTCCTATGAGCTTTCTTATTTCAATATTGATATAAAGCATCAGGCAGGTACATCTAATTTCATAAAACGCTTTTTTAGAAATATTTTCATGAGCATCTGTGGCCATAGGATTAAGTAAAGACCTAGCTTATCTAAGTGGAAGGTAAGTGAGATGCTATGATAAACAACTAGCTTGTGTCTTATTCAGAATGCTCTTTTTTTTTTTTCTGGAGGTTTCTTCTTCTGTGAAGGCTTACTAAAATATAGCATCATTAAAGTTTTCATTGTGTGCCCCTTTTGTCCTTCATTTATTATGCAGTTCATGAGAGAATATAACTGAGTCTCAGGTGTCTACATTTTTATAAGATCATGTAACGGAAAGGTGACTTTAGGGACAGCCAGCGTAATTTCTTCTTTGATTTAGTAATTTCTCTATAACATCCTTGAATGAGTCTTCAAAACTCTTTTCAGTAAGAGTAAACTCACCATCTTAGAAAGTAGCCAATGGTAGTGCTAGACAGTTTTTTTTTTTTTTTTTTTTTTGAGTTGAAGTCTCACTCTGTCGCCCAGGCTGGAGTATAGTTGCACGATCTCGGCTTACTGCAAGCTCCCCCTCCCAGGTTCAAGTGATTCTTGTGCCTCAGCCTCCCCAGTAGCTGGGACTACAGGTACGCACCACCATGCCTGGCTAAGTTTTGTATTTTTAGTAGAGATGGGGTTTCACCATATTGGTCAGGCTGGTCTCGAACTCCTGACCTCAGATGATCCATGCACTTCGGCCTCCCATAATGCTGAGATTACAGGTGTGAGTCACATGCTTGGCCTAGACAGTTTTTATTATAGGAAATTTATTTCTTGTTTTGGCATAAATGGACTCAAATTCAGAAAAGAATAAGCATGGTGCTCAAAGGACATAGGATAACATAATTTAAGGAATGTTTGCAAGAGCCTGAGCATGTTTCTTTTGCTAAATACTCAGGAGAGGCAGACAGCTATTTGAGAATATATAAGTGACCATCCTATGTGAAGTAGATTAAGCCCAGTGTGTTTGATCCCACACATGATTTTGACTTACTAATTGAGTTGCTAACAGAACTGGTTAAGGATAGAATGGCTGCTTTAGTAAGATCCTGACTATAGCAGGAATAAGCAGTTAGCAGACCACTTGGTGCAACTGTACTGTAGATGATACTCACACATTGGTCTAGTTCCAACAATAGATAATGAGACTCTATAATATTTGCTTCCTTCTAACTTCCATCTGTTTCTGGCCCCTGAGACTCCTCCCTGCCTGCTGGCCCTAGCTTGGATGCTAAATTAGTTTTCTTGGGATGCTGAAACAAAGTACCACAAAGTGGTTGCTTAAATATGTAAATTTATTGCATCAGGGTTCTGAAGGCAATAAGTCCAAAGTTAAGGTGTTGGCAGGGTTGGTTCCTTCTGAGGGCTGTCAGTGAAGGAACTGTCTAGGACTTTTCTTGGCTTGTAGATGGCTATCTTGATGGTCAATGGCTTTCTGTTTGCAAATTTCTCCCTTTTATAAGGATACCAGTTATATTGGATTATGGACCACCCTAATGAACTCATTTTGACTTATTACCTCTGTAAAGACTTTATCTCCAAGGCTGGGCATGGTGGGTCACATCTGTAATCCCAGCACTTTGGGAGGCCAAGGTAGGTGGATCAGCTGAGGTCAGGAGTTCGAGACCAGCCTTATCAACATAGTGAAACCCCGTCTGTACTAAAAATAAAAAATAAGCCAGGTGTGGTGGTGGTGCATGCCTATAAGCCCAGCTACTTGGGAGGCTGAGTCAGGAGAATCGCTTGAACCTGGGGGGTGGAGGTTGCAGTGAGCCGAGATAGCACCATTGCACTCCAGCCTAGGCAACGACAGTGAAATTCCATCTCGGGGAAAAAAAAAAAAAAGACCTTATCACCAAATAAGGTCACATTTTGAAGTATTGGGGGTTAGGACTTTATATGAATTTGGGGAGGCACACAATTCAATCCATAATAGATATATATGGGAATATTTGACCTGTTGGATAAAGAGACTGGTAGAGCTTATGAATTCTAGAAATTAGCCAGGCCAGTCAATATTTTGCAAAATTTCTATTGTCTTAGAATTAGCAGCTTATAATAAATATTTTATTGTGCCCATGGATTCTGTGGATCAGGAATTTGGACAAGGCCTAGTTCAACTGGCTCATCTCTGCTCATAGTCTGGGGTCTCAGCTGAGGAGATATGAGGCCTGGGGATGACTCAGGGGCTGGGTGCTGGAATCATCTGGAGGTATCTTCACTCACTTATGTGGTGGTTAATGTTATTTGTCAGCTAGGACATTAGTAGAAGTGTCAGTTGAAATACTTACAAATGGCCTCTTATTGTCACCTGGGCTTCCTCAAAGTATGGCAACCTCAGGGGAGCCAGGGCTCCAAAAGTGAGTATCTCAATATATAAAACGGAAGCTGCATTGTCTTTTCTGACCTATACTGGGAAGTCATGAAATGCCACTTGTGCTGCTTTCTGTTGGTTAAAGGTGAGTCACAAACCCACCCAGATTTTGAGGAGGGGATATAGGTCTTATATCTCTCTTGATAAGAGAATTTCTGACCATGAAAAAAAGAACATATATCTCTTTAGAGGGGATTTAGGTTGGCTGCAGTAGTTCACACCTGTAATCCCAGGACTTGGCAGGCCGAGGTGAGAGGATCACTTGAGCCAAGGAGTTCAAGACAAGCCTGGGCAACATAGCAAGACCCTGTCTTTACAAAAACATAAAGGAAAAACAAAAAAACCAGCCAGGTGTGGTGGTGCATGCCTGTGGTCCCAGCTACTTGGGAGTCTGAGGTAGGAGGATCATTTGAACCTGGGAAGTTGAGGCTACAGTGACCCGTGATTACACTACTGCACTCTAGCCTGGGTGACAGAGTGAGACACTATCTCAAAAAAAAATATGTACATATTTTTTTTCTAAAAATGAAGGAGATTTAAATTATAAAATGTATTGTAAAGGACCTTCTAAAAGATAGACAAGTTTGCTTGTCTTGCTTTTGGGGAGCAATAGAAAACAGACAGTACATAGAAAAAATAAGGCTTGTAGAGCTTAGTCAGGCTTACTGGACACGACCACTTCATATACTGGTCATGTGTGTCTTTCCATAACATAGAATAACTTTTGCTTTTAAAGTTAATCTCATACTCTCCAGGATCTGCTGAGGCTTTTAGAAATTACAAAAGCAAAAAGTAAAAAAAAATTATAACTGTTAAGTTTTTAACAGAAAAGTATAAAATAAAGAGGAATAAGTGTAACACATTTTTTTGTTGGGGGAGGGTCTCATGACTTGTCCAGATAATTGTACTACCTAATTTATTTATTTCATACAAGCCCTGAGCAGACTAGGGATTTTAACTAGACTTGATATAGTCAACAGATGGCTTTCACTTTCTATGTAATTTCAGCTCTCTGTTGACTTTATAGCTCTTTTTTTATATCTGCTTCAAAACACATTATAACTTGTGCAGCAATTTTATCAAACAAGCTGGACTGTGTAGTGAGAGAATTATTTTCTATTCTTTCCTTTTAAACCTGCTTTTGGATTGACTCTTCCTTTCCTGGATGAAATATTTGGCAGGTGTAATAGCATTCTGATTCCTTCAATCACAAGGAGGCCTTGTTTTAGCCAATAAAAATCCCAATCAAGGATAATATCATAATTTAGGATTCTTATCTAATTTAGGCTTCTCTTGTGTTCCAGCTTAGGCCTGACTGGGGAAAACATGCTCTGCTTCTCCATGATACTCGAATTCTGCTTGGCAAGGGCTAGACTGTGAAGAGTCTGTTATGTCAAACTAGAGAACTTGGGCCCCATCTCTCTCTCACCAATACACTGAAGAATAAAGAAACCCAGGCGAGGAGGAGTGAATGAGCAAATTTTGCCTTTCTCCCAAATCACTGAAGCCAAATTTGGTTGGTGCTTGGAGGAAAAAAAAAAACAACATAAAATTGGATCAAGATTGAAGTTTTAAAAATTTGATTAGACTAGGCTAGAAATTAATAACTGAAAGTAACCCCCTGCCTATGCAATCTGCTCAGGATATTAAAAAATAGGAAAGAGAGATTGTATAGAGCATGGTTAAAAGGAGAAAAAAATGGTTTCATGTTAGCATTCTACCAAGTTTAGACCACTTGAAAAATTTCATTAAAAGACGTACCCATTATTTAGCAGGGACAGGGTGTAGGGGAGTGGTATGTGGGAGACTGTGGAAGATGCCAGGTTGATGCCAAGAAGATGCTTATTTGTATAATTTTGCTTGGAACTTGAAATTCAAATTTCCATTGTAAATTATAATATATTGCAAAATGCTTTTTTGAGTTAGACATTCTGGATTTTTAACAAAACTCCAGAGAAGTTATATGATGCTGAGTCCATCTTAGATGATCTTCCCCCCACTGCTCACTAAGCTCCACCACATTGGACTTTCTCAATTTCTTAATGCGCCAAGCTCTTTGTTGTTCTAGGAACACTGCATATGTTCTGCTTAGAATAACTTCCCCCAAATCTTCACCTAGCTAACTCCTGTACATCCCTTAGGCCTTAAATTGCATATCCTATTTTAGAGAAGTTGTCTCTGATCCCACAGCATGAATTGGGTGCTTCCTTGTTATAATCATAGATGTCCCTCTTTTCTTTTTTTATCACTGCAATCTGTAATTATATATGTGTGTGTGTGTGTGTTTGTTTTTCTCATGTCTTATTCTTTCACTAAGTGGTAAGCCTCACAAGAGTAGGACTACTTCTGTCCTATTAATCACTATATAAGCAATATCTAGCACAATGCCTGAAAGATAGAGGTTACTTAATTAATCTTTTTTGAATCAATGAATAAATCAAAGTGCTTGCTTGGTTGTACTAAAACATTCATAGTATTTCTGAAGACTTTTTTTTTCTTTTTGTCTGGCATTGCCAGGCTACTCATACTGAGAGAGAGAGAGAATGAATAATTTACAGAATGAATATCTAGGCAACTTCAATTTAGGTGGTGTGCAGCAGAAATGAAGGGATAGAAGTGAAGCTTGAGACAAGGGATTTCAGAAAATTCTCCAAGTAGTCCCAGTGAGTATGAACTGGATCCTAATTGTGCGACAGGCTTCATTTCCTATGCTCCTTGATTTTTCGTCTCTGAACTGTTTAAGGATACAGAAGAAATGACCCATTCTCACTTAGAAAGAGTGACGAGCTTGTGGGGATGGGGATTTTTCCATTTTGTTTGAAACAAATTATGTACAGTGGAATACATGTAGGACTGAAATTATGGGAGCCTTAAATTTATTCTTCACAGGATTTTGAATCAAACAAATATTGATTAAGAATGTTTTGTAGGCCGGGCACGGTGGCTCACACCTGTAATCCCAGCACTTTCGGAGGCCGAGGCGGGCGGATCATGAGGTCAGGAGATCGACACCATCCTGGCTCACACGTGAAACCCTGTCTCTACTAAAAATACCAAAAAAAAAAAAAAAAAAAAAAATTAGCCGAGCGTGGTGGCGGGCGCCTGTAGTCCCAGCTACTTGGGAGGCTGAGGCAGGAGAATGGCATGAACCCGGGAGGCGGAGCTTGCAGTGAGCCGAGATCGCGCTGCTGCACTCCAGAATAATTTTGTATTATTTACAAAAGAATGTTTTGTAAATAATAATATAGTAATGCACTATGAAATAAGAAGTGGTCTGTAAAAGGAAAAAAAAAAAGGCCAAATTTTAAAATCAAAGGGTCACTTATTGTTTCAGGAAATAGCATGTCTTTATCATTGTCACAAAAACCAATAGCAGAAATAGAAATATGCGTCAGTGTTATTTAGGATTGCACTTGAACAATGCTAATTTGCACAAGGCAATTATTTTATAAACTTTTGAGGAATGGGGATTATGTAGAGATGAAGGTTAGAATAAAGGTAGGTATGTAAGCTTGTAGGGAGGAAGATTTGTTTGTCTCTACCCACGAATTGGGCCAATTCCCGGATGTCAC